>NC_000022.11:11774629-11977555 GCF_000001405.40 Homo sapiens | reverse complement strand
GATCACCTGCCTTGGCTTCCCAAAGTGTTGGGATTACAGGCATGAGCCACGGTGCCCAGCCATTTCTTCCAGGTTTTTCAATTTATTGGAATATAGTCGGTCATAATAGTTTCTAATGATTCTTTGAATTTCCACAGTATCAGTTATAGTGTCTCCTTTTTAATCTCTGGTTTTATGTATTTGAATCTTCTCTCTTTTTTCTTAGTCTGGTTAAGTGTTTGTTGATTTTGTTGGTCTTTTAAAAATATTAACTTTTCATTTCATTGATATTTTATATTTTTAAATTTCAATTTCATTTATTTCTGCTCCGATCTTTGCTATGTTTCCTTCTACTAATTTTGGTTTTGGTTTGCTCTTGCTTTTCTAATTATTTAAGATGCATTATTAGGTTGTTTATTTGAAGCTTTTCTACTTTTTTTGATGTAGGTGCTTTTTTCTATAAACTTACCTCTTAGTACTGTAGTACTGTTTTTATTGTATCCCATAGGTTTTTTTTTTTTTTTTTTTGAGACGGAGTCTCACTCTGTTGCCCAGGCTGGAGTGCAGTGACGCGATCTCGGCTCACTGCAAACTCCGCCTCCCAGGTTCACGCCATTCTCCTGCCTCAGCCTCCCGAGTAGCTGGGACTACAGGCGCCCGCCTTCACGCCCGGCCAATTTTTGTTTTTTGTATTTTTAGTAGAGACGGGGTTTCACCGTGTTAGCCAGGATGGACTCAATCTCCTGACCCTATGATCCGCCAGCCTCGGCCTCCCAAAGTGCTGGGATTACAGGCATGAGCCACTGCCCCCGGCCTGTACCCTAGGTTTTGGTTTGACTTTAAACTTTTTCTTTTCTCGAAAACTCAGTGTCATCGTACTGGCTTCTTGTGCTTTGGGCAGTGAGACCCTTTTACTTGATAACAGTGGTAGCTGGGACAAGTTGGCAATGTAAATAAATAAACAGCATCTAGATTGGAAAGGAAGAAGTACAGTTATCTTTATGTACAGATGACATGATCTTGCATTTAGAAAATCGTAAGAAATTTACTAAAAAGTGTTAGGACTCATGAACAAATTAAAGAATGTAACACTATATAAGATTGGTATACAAAAATAAATGTATTTCTTTACCAAGAAATCAAGAATCCAAAAATGGAATTACAAAAATAAATCTTGTTACAATAGAATTAAAGCTGGGGAAGCTTAAACTTGAACACTAAAAACTACAATACATGGTTAGCGTTGGAAACACCCAGATACCATCCCTGAGCCTTCTCTCCTTGACTCTGAGGGCTTTACCTTCACGGGGTGAGGAAAGGGGTTGCATTCTTGGCTTTTACATTATATTAGGTGGGTTCGGGTTGAGGTATCTGCAATTCAAATGAGTATTACAATCTCTACTTTTATGGATAAGAGACTAAGGCCCACCAAGAGAGGGAATGACAGTCCATATCCTGGAAGGCGAATTGTCAAGCACTGATTTCCGCTATTTAACCCCTGCCAATCATCAAGTATTTAAAGGATCCCCAGATACCATACCAATAGGTGTTCAAGAGAGAGGCCTGTAATCTAGGCGTCTGAGAAAACAAGGCTAGAGATTCCAATATTAGAGACAACAGGGCTCTGGGAAGATTAAGGTTGAGTTTTCTGGATCTGCAGAATAGAGTCACTGAGAACCAATTGCAAGATCAGAGGAGATGAAAGAACAAGTCAGGGCATGCTTAGGAAAAGAGAATACCAGGGATAGGTTTTAGGCAAGAGTCACACTGAGGAAGGGCAGGTTCTTGGCATCGCTCAGGAAGAAATCCAAAAGCAAGCCTGTGGTGGAAGAAAGCAGCTCTACGGAGGCATTGACGGTGTTACAGCCCTGCGTCCACTCCGGCAGGACAGGGAGCCCTCCGTGGGTTGTGCTCCCAGAGCAGCAGCCTAGGGGTGGCTTGTAGTCATTTTTATAATTCACTTTTAATGGCATGCTAATTAAGGGGCGGGTTATTCAGAAATAGCTAGAAATGGGCAGTAACTTCCATCTGTTTCCATGGCAAGGGGTGGGGACTTCTCGTGATTCCATGGCATTGGCAAACTGTCATGGCACTGGTGGGAGCGTCTTCCGGTGATCTGAGGCGTGAGGTGCTTTCGCTGCCCCTCCCAGGTTCCTGCGTGCCTCTTACCTGAAAGCCCATCACACCCCCATCTGCCCACCTACAAACGTCACTGCCCTTTCACCCCACCCCCGTTTCACACGCACTCCCACATCAACCCTGAGCATTCAAGCCTGCGTTTCCCTGTTAGGAACCTCGGTGGTAGCCGGAGCTCTGAGAAACCCCTAGGCAGAACTCCTTGCCTAGTTTGTGGCAGAAATCAGGGAAGGAAAGGCAAATTTCAGGTCTTTCTCACAATAAATAAATAAAGATAGCTAGATATGATTGATGGATGGATGGATGAAACGTGGGAGTCTACGGGCAAATATTTATCAGACACTGGAAGTGTAAGTTGTCACAAAGATTATGGAGTGCACCTGTCTTATGACCCTGTTATTTTATCCCAGTATATGCACTAGAGCATATTTTCTAACAGTGTAAATTGAAGGCTCACAAATTAGTTTAGTGAGAGAAAAGATAACGGATTGGAAGAGAATTACCATATTCATTAGTTGTGTTTTTAAATTTTTAAAGTAAAAAAGAGACATGATTTTTTTCATGCTTTCGAATGCATCTATAAAAAATAGACTTGAGGGCTGGCTCACGCTTGTAATCCCAGCACCTTGGGAGAACTAGGAGGGTGGATAACGAGGTCAGGAGTTGGAGACCAGCCTGACCAACATGGTGAAAACCCATCTCTACTAAAAATACAAAAATTAGGCGAGTGTGGTGGCGCGCGCCTGTAATCCCAGGTACTTAGGAGGCTGAGGGAGGAGAATCGCTTAAACCCAGGAAGCGGAGGTTGCAGTGAGCCGAGATCGCACCATTGCACTCCAGCCTGGGCGACAGAGTGAGACTCCGTCTCAAAAAGAAAAAAAAAAAAAAAAAAAAAAAAAACTTATTCATAGCATAGACCAATTGGCCTCTATTGAAATTTCTCCATTATTTTCACAATGTCCCAGGCTGTGAAACCAGGATTTAATAAAGAACCAGAATGCCACATCTGTGTCACCTGGGTAGGGACCAGTCCTGATACATTAAGTCCGGGTCTCTGGGTAACTGGACTCAACTGCTGGGCAAAACAGAATGTCCGGCGTGGGTTCCTAACGGGGGACCGCAAAGCCTCATGGGAATTGTAGTGTCACCTTCCAATGATGTTACCATCAAGGACCTTGGGAACCAGCTTTTCTCTCTGCGCGTGCGCCGCCCGGCCCACTCCGCCATTTTCCTCCGGAAGTGCGGCACCCAGAGGCGGTCCTGTAGCTGGGCCGGCTTGTGGCTTGGTTCTATGTCCCTGCGGGTCGGTGCAAGGGCGAAGAGGAACCCGTGGGCCTCAGGGGATCCCGGGGGGCCGGACCAGTGTCCCCTCGTTGTGGGAGCAGACGCGTGGGCGCATTGCGGGCGGGCAGGGCCTGAAGTGCAGGTGCCGGCCGTGGACCCTGGCGGGGGCTGGGAGAACAGGCGTGGGGTCCCGGCAGTGAAGCGGATTCTAGAGGCGCAGGAGCAGGTAGGAGAGGCCGGTGGCCCTGGGCCGGGAGTCTGCAGGCCGCGCTCCTGTCCTGCCGCTGAGGGACCCGGTTACCAACCCGCATGACGCTCAGTTTGCCCATCTGTCCCAGTGCTAACACACAGTTCTCGGGAGACGTTCCCCATTCCCAGAGGAGTAGTGTGAAATGCGTGCGCCTCTAGTCTTAAACTTGGCGTTTGTATTAGTTGGGTTTCCTAGTGTCTCTTTAGCAAGTGAAGTTTCTGGTTCCCTCCTTCACTGTGTGACCTGCCTAGTCCTCCTGGGTCGCATTTACAGAAGTTTATACGAGACCTAGTTTCCAGGGAAGAACTCACTGATTCCGCGAGGGAGATGGCGTAATGGATGATGGTCGTCAGCCTTAAGGGTACTTCAGTCTTAACTGTGTGTTACAAAGTTTGAAAGGGAGGGTTCCCTATGAATAAGAAGCACACTTGAAAGAACAGCCATCTGGTCTAACCTCTCTCTGGTGCTTCAGAGGAGGAAAAAAGGTCACAGGTGAAGATCCCAGTTTTCCTTGCTCAGGAAATATTAATTCTACTCCCTAGAATGCACAAGATTTGCAAAGACTAGGTGATAGTAGAAGGTTTGGACGAACTTTCAGAAGGTTGAGGTGAATTCAGCTGAGAAGAACAGGCAAGGACTTAGGAAATATTCCTTATTTGAAGGGGCCTGAAAGTGTGGTCTGGGGTACAGCAGTGACCTGTCATACTTGAGAGGATTAAAATACTCTCCAAACACAGTCCCATTCCTTCAACCTTAGCTCGTTTTTTCCAGCGTCTGAGATATATTAAACCTAGTCCATCCCCAAATTTAGCATTAGATTGCGAAGTTCTATTGATTGTATTTGATTTGTAATTTAAGATTTTCTCCCCCTACGTAATTTTGTTAAAAACACAGAAGTGAATTCTGTTCACTTAGGTGTAACAGTTAATACTTGCTATTTAAGGAACTAATTAAACCTTACTGGCTTATAAAAAACAACCACCATTTTATTTGTTTGAAGTTCTGTGGATCTGCATTTTGGTGTGGTGCGTTCAGCTGGGTAGTTGATATATGTGTGTTGCCTGGATCACAAAAAGGCCTTAGTCACCTGGTGCCTTGACTGAGCCTGGTTGGTTTAAGATAGTTTCCTTCACAATCTGGTGGTTTGTGGTGACTCTTGGCTAGGCCCTGTGTCTCCAACAGGGTAGCTCCAGACCTCTTCACAATTTCCCCCAAAAAGGGAAGAACCAATGGATATTTGCATCACATTTTCCATTGTCCATTCACTGGACAAGTCAGATGGAAAAGCCCAATTTATTGTCAGAGCATAATATGAGGGCTTGGATAGAAGGAAAGGTGTTATTGGGAAACATGAGTAGAATGGTGTACTGCAGGAAATACATATTATGTACATTTTTAAAAACGTAATTGTAGGCCAAAATTGCTGGTTTGCAAGATGCACTTTCCATGATGTTCAGGTATAGAAAAGCAAGATGTACTGTCATGGGAACACTCTTATGAAGTTGTTTGTGGAATCTACATATTAATAGGAAAATAGCTAATATAGCCCAGTATATTTCTATAACATTTATTTTAGTGAACTTATAATGTTTCTTTGTATTAAATTATTAGATTATATCTTTAGATAATATTGTTACTAAATTAGTAGGTAATATATATTTTTATTCAAAAATAAATTGTGCATCTAATGTCTACCAATTAATGTACTTGTAGATGTATCTTATCTTAACTTGAGTCTTTGCTGCCCCTAATGAGGCGTGAAGGACTCTTCTCCCCTGGGGAAGTTTGTCTTTTTCAGGAGGGAGGAGGGCTTTCCCAGGTAATGTGTCTAGAGTGTTGGGCAGAAGAATCTGGGACCACACCACACCAGTTCTCTCCTTAATCCACGTCATTTGCCTTCTATCCCAGCTATGTTTCCAGTGTCCCCTGGGTGTTTCCAAGAGCAACAAGAAACGAATAAATCTCTGGTGAGTTGTTTATTTGTTCTTCACTTTGTTTTACACTGTATTTTCTGAGTTTATGGGTGTCTGTGAATTAAAAAGGAAAAGTAGAAATAAGTAAAACTCAGGTTGAAGGAAATATACATAAATAAGATAAAGCTGACCTGTAGATATAGGCAGGTTGTAAGAGCTTAGAGTTGTCTAAGTTGAGTGCAAATTTTCCTCTGATCTTTCTGATGCTGAGACAAAAAAGGCAGTCATGTTTGTTACGTGATTAGAATGGAACCCGAGAAGAGAGCATGCTGTGTTCTTGTGAGACAGGAAAGCTTGCGTGCACCAAGTCTGAACCACCACCTTCATTGGTGACATAGATTATGTGCTGGAACATATTTCACACCGGCCTGGCAGTAAACACTTGTAGTGTTGTGCAGTGGAAACGGTCATCTTCCGCTAAAGCACGGCGTGTTGTGCAGTGGAAATGGTCATCTGCCGCTAAAGCACAGCTTCCATCGTAATGTATGCTCCTTGCTCAAAGATTGTGGTCCCAAACAGCCTTTGGGAGGTCCTCCTTGATTCATGGATGAAACCCGGAACATCTTGAGGACTGAGTTAACCATAGGTCCTTAAATAACTCTCCACACTTTTTCTTAGTTTGTCTCATGCAGGATGTGCAGCAGCCTGTTCAAAGTCATATTTTCTGGGAAATCTTTCCAGTGTTTATTTGCACTTTAGCCCACTCTGTGTAGCCTTATTTCTTCTAAACTCACCATTAACCTGAATAATAGTCAAATTTAGGGGGACTGTATTTGCCTTACTCGAGTCTTCTACCATAGTTGAAACTGTCGTACCCGAGTGAGTTAGAGAGAAATGCCACGCATTGAGACGAATTCAGGAGTCCTTTACTAGCCAGCGACTGAGACATGGCTAACGCACGAAATTATCTAGGCCCCAAAGAAGGGACAAGATTTTCTTTTATACTTTGGTTTAGAGAGGGGAGGGGGGATTCTAGCTGCAGCAACTTTACAGAAGAAAAAAACAGACAAAAAACTTAGAAAGACAGATGGTTACAGGAAAACAAACTGTTCCTGGTGTAGGGGCTTTAAATTCACCACAAAGTGATAGGTGAGGGGGCTCTGGGCATTATCTGCCTGACAAATGTGGGGGCTTTATGTACTATCTCTAAGTAAATTGCTGGGAACGGGGGACATCTCTTGTCTCAGCACTTTATCAGTTAATTGCACGCTTTGATATGTTGAAAATCAGCTTGCACAAATTAAAGTCCTTGAGGAAAGGGGGTGGGTAAGGAGCCCTTGATGTCTTGTTAATGAAGGAGCCAAATGGAGTTTGTCTGGTTTTCTCAGCTAAGGGAGAGTCTATTAATATTAAAAACAAGGTTAGCTGTCTAAGGAAGAGTCTATTCATGTTAATACAAGGTTGGGTATTACAAAACGTCTGTTCATGATCTGGAAATTCTTCTGTGTTAGTTCTGTTAAAAGAAAAACTTTAAAGGAGTTTAATTTAGCAATAAACGGTTCATGAGTCGGACAGTCCCCAGAATCACAGCAGATTCACAGAGACTCCAGTGCAGTCATGTGGTGGAAGAAGATTTATAGACAAAAGGGAAGTGGCATACCGAAATCGGAAGTGAGGTACAGAAACAACTCAGCGTTTGCCTTGTTTGAACACATTTTGAACATTTGGCAGTGCTTGAGTGGTTGAAGTTTGGCCATTGGGATTGGTCAAGATGTAGCTGTTGTTCCAGGTGCGTACTCTTAAGTTAGTTCTTCATTCTTGTATACCTATTAAGGTAGGTTGCAGTTCATCCACAAGGACTCATATATAGAATTATGGAGTCCTTCTCAGGCCATACTTAGTTCACTTTAACAATGCCTTCCCTTTGGTTATTTTCTCAATTTTGAGAGATTGGCCAAAACTTCAGTCACTGGTGTCACTATTACCGTTGCAAATGTACTTACTTGGTTTAGAAACCCACTGGGAAATAGACCAGTGAGATTTGAAAAGGTGGAACAAGGACTTGAGTAGAAGGTATCTTCTTATGCTGGAACATCCTGTTTACAGGAGAAAAACAAAACCTGGTTTGTTCTAGGATTTATGTGTTTCCCTAAAGTCTTAGTTTGATTATGTTACATTTAGCATGAGTGACTCCATTTTGGTTTGGTTTGGTTTGGTCTGTTGGGACCTATTGCATGAGCTTAGTTCAAAACAATGGCCTCCCATAATTTTGCTTAAAAAATTCCTCCTTTTTGCTGGGTGTGGTGGCTCACACCTGTAATCCCAGCACTTTGGGAGGCTGAGGTGGGCAGATCATGAGGTCAGGAGATTGAGACCATCCTTGCTAATACGGTGAAACCCCATCTCTACTAAAAATACAAAAAATTAGCCAAGTGTGGTGGCAGGTGCCTGTATTCCCAGCTACTCAGGAGGCTGAGGCAGGAGAATGGCCTGAACCCGGGAGGCAGAGCTTGCAGTGAGCCGAGATCATGCCACTGCACTCCACTCTGGGGGACAGACCAAAACTCTGTCTTAGAAAAAAAAAGTCCTCCTTTTCAGTCAAGTTCTCACTTAGTTGAGAGTGTGACCAAAATGTAGGGCCTTAGCATCACTCTTAGTTACCATTGTTTTGGGTTCCAGTTTTAGCATGTCATTCCCATTGTTTTGGGTTTCTGGTTTAGCACATCACTCCCATTGTTTTGGGTTCCGGTTTTAGCACGTCATTCCCATTGTTTTGGGTTTCTGGTTTAGCACTTCACTCCCATTGTTTTGGGTTCTGGTTTTAGCACGTCACTCCCATTGTTTTGGGTTCCGGTTTAGCACGTCACTCCCATTGTTTTGGGTTCCTGTTTAGCACGTCATTCCCATTGTTTTGGGTTCCGGTTGCAGCACATCACTCCCATTGTTTTGGGTATCTGGTTTTAGCATGTCACTCCCATTGTTTTGTGTATCTGGTTTTAGCACCTCACTCCCATTGTTTTGGGTTTCCAGGTTTTAGCACGTCACTCCTATTGTTTTGGGTTTCTGGTTTATCATGTCACTCTCATTGTTTTGGGTTTCTGGTTTTAGTACATCACTCTCATTGTTTTGGGTTTCTGGTTTAGCAGGACGCTCCCATTGTTTTGGGTTTCTGGTTTTACAAGTCACTCCCATTGTTTTGGGTTTCTGGTTTAGCAGGACGCTCCCATTGTTTTGGGTTTCTGGTTTTACACGTCACTCCCATTGTTTTGGGTTTCTGGTTTAGCACGTCACTCCCATTGTTTTCGGTTTCTGGTTTAGCAGGACTCTCCCATTGTTTTGGGTTTCTGGTTTAGCAGGTCACTACCATTGTTTTGGGTTCCAGTTTAAGCACATCACTCCCATTGTTTTGGATTCCGGTTTTAGCATGTCACTCCCATTATTTTGGGTTCCGGTTTTAGCACATCACTCCCATTGTTTTGGATTTCTGGTTTAGCAGATCACTCCCACTGTTTTGGGTTCCGGTTTAAGCACATCACTACCATTGTTTTCGTTTCCAGTTTTAGCATGTCACTCCCATTGTTTTGGGTTCCAGTTTTAGCAAGTCACTCCCATTGTTTTAGGTTTCTGGTTTAGCAGGTCACTCCCATTGTTTTCGGTTCCGGTTTAAGCACATCACTCCCGTTGTTTTGGGTTCTGGTTTTAGCACCTCACTCCCATTGTTTGGGTTTCTGGTTTTGCAGGTCACTCCCATTGTTTTGGGTTCCAGTTTAAGCACATCACTCCCATTGTTTTCGTTTCCGGTTTTAGCACGTCACTTCCATTGTTTTGGGTTCCAGTTTTAGCAAGTCACTCCCATTGTTTTGGGTTTCTGGTTTAGCATGTCACTCCCATTGTTTTGGGTTTCTGGTTTAGCATGTCACTCATAGGTTACGGTGTCCTTATGGTTGCACATTTTTTTTTAATCTCTTGTCATTCCAGTTGAAGAGATACCATTTGACATTTTAGAGATGGCTGCATGTAAACTCTTAAAACATTTGAGTAAGTACAGTGCACCAGGGAGACTCTTATGACTATTGGGATAACACCAAGAATTTGGTATATGCTCCTTACTCAGGGTCCCCATAAATCAAACCACCTAAAATCAAATAGATTAAAGAATGAATTAGATAAAGAGTTTCCTTGCTTAACTAAGTGGTTTTTTTGTTAATTCCCTACAACCAAATCTTTATAATACCCCATGTTTTCTCCACATGCTGTAAGTGTTAGCAGCTGCACAGATACTTAAGATAAGAGTCTCATGATAGTAGAGAAGTCTTGATCTGTGATCTTGGGAAAAGCTGTTCACATTAAGGATGTCATCTTCTTCTGGGGGGAACGGTCCTTGTTAGCTTTACCTTAAGGGTTCCAATGGGCATATGGTTCTGAGTGTGGAGGGACCCTTCTGAGTTGTGAGACTATCAACCCAAAGTTTAAGTTTTTAAAGTTTTGCTGTCATGTGGATGGCGAGGGCAGTCCTTCTCTGATGTTCTCAGAAGATCCAGTCATCAGATTCTAGATTTTGAAGGGTTTGACTGTCCTCAGTGAACCATAAAAGGCTTTCTTTACCTGGTGAAAATACACTTCAGGGTAATAATCTACTGTTTTAACTTCAACTCTCTCGCATGGAAGAGCTTTTATACAATCAGAAAACATGCACTGAAAATGAAAACTGAATGAAATCCCTTTATAAAATGTTTAAATGGCCCATCAGATAACCAAATGTACCTGAAGTTTTGATTGTTTTCCTAGGAATATAGGTTTCACAAACCAAACATTGGTTATAAACTATTTTAGCAGTTTAGAAATCACCACACCAATATATTTAATTGGATCGTTTTCTCTTTCCGTGATGAGTTATGGAATGCAGAACTTTTAATAACAAAAGTTTTTAGGACTTAAGAAGGATAAGGTGGCCATCCTGGTTCTTCATAGGTCTGTGCTTAATTAACATCAGACTTACATCCTCTTGAATACCAGCTGTTTCTCCAAATTAGGTGCAAGGCACTGGTAACTGATGAGTAGTTATAGGTAATTTGATTTAGAACATGGAATTTATTTAAATTATATATCTAAACAATTTCAATATTGGTGATTTAGCATGCAAATGTGACAAAATATTTCCTTGGTATACAATTTTTGTTTTACTTGGGTTAGCAGTTTTACAAACCAGTTGGTCTTTTTATTAAATTTTTGATATATTTTTTTTTGAGACAGAGTCTCACTCTGTTACCTAGGTTGGAGTGCAGTGGCACAATCTTGGCTCACTGCAACCTCCGCCTCCTGGGCTCAAGCAATTCTCTTGCCTCAGCCTCCCGAGTAGCTGGGATTACAGGCACATACCACCACACCCAGCTAATTTTTGTATTTTTAGTAGAGGTGGGGTTTCACCTTTGGCCAGGCTGGTCTCAAACTCCTGACCTCAAGTGATCCACCGGCCTTGGACTCCTAAAGTGCTGGGATTGCCGACATGAGCCGCTGCACCCAGCCTAACTGTTGAGAATTCTTAGCCAGTCCAATTCTTGGGGTATCGGGGAACTTATGGGGAATTTTTACCCATGATATTAAAGTTATTAGAAATCTGTGTTCACGAGTGTTTTTCAGGGTCCTTTTCATTCTTTCATGAATCTTCTAAGAGACACCATATTCTAGAATTTTGCATGCTTGTGAAGTTTTTAGAAACTGCATCACCATTAAGCAATTAACTGTGAAATGACTTTAGTTATAGTTAAAGACAATTGACAAGGAAATATGGTTATTTCTGTGGTCTACAATAACTTAATAACCATAATTAGGGTGGATGTGGTGGCTCATGCCTGTAATCCCAGCACTTTGGGAGGTCGAGGTGGAAGGATCATGAGGTCAGGAGATCGTGACCATCCTGGCTAACACGGTGAAATCCATCTTTACTAAAAATACAAAAATTAGCCTGGCATGGTGGTGGGTGCCTGTAGTCCCAGCTACTCGGGAGGCTGAGGCAGGAGAATGGCATGAACCCGGGAGGCGGAAGTTTCAGTGAGCCGAGATTGTGCCACTGTACTCCAGCCTGGGTGACAGAGCAAGACTCCATCTCAGAAAAAAAAAATACAAGAATTTTAGAAATCCTATACAATTTTAGAATGGATTGATGACATACACTAAATATAACCTGAGGAAGGTTCCACATTATTTTTTATTTTGACAGTGCTACCCATGTGACTTAACATGTTAAATAGTCCTGTTTACCTCTCTTTTGGGTTCTTCGGGGGTATCTGTAGTATCCCAAAGTTAGAGGTCAGAAAAGACAATTTTGAAGTTGAAATTTGATTTTGGGAAGCCTATTAAATATATTAAAGGTTTAAACACTTGATGTTATGAAATAGAATTCCACGTCACCGTAAGTCATTCATTTACCTAAAATCATGACTTAAAAAATTTTTATTTTTTTTATTCTTATTTTTTAGTATACTTTTAGTTTTAGGGTACATGTGCACATTGTGCAGGTTAGTTACATATGTATACATGTGCCATGCTGGTGCGCTGCACCCACTAACTCGTCATCTAGCATTAGGTATATCTCCCAATGCTATCCCTCCCCCCTCCCCCCACACCACAACAGTCCCGAGAGTGTGATATTCCCCTTCCTGTGTCCATGTGATCTCATTGTTCAATTCCCACCTATGAGTGAGAATATGCGGTGTTTGGTTTTACGTTCTTGTGATAGTTTACTGAGAATGATGATTTCCAATTTCATCCATGTCCCTACAAAGGACATGAACTCATCATTTTTTATGGCTGCATAGTATTCCATGGTGTATATGTGCCACATTTTCTTAATCCAGTCTATCATTGTTGGACATTTGGGTTGGTTCCAAGTCTTTGCTATTGTGAATAATGCTGCAATAAACATACGTGTGCATGTGTCTTTATAGCAGCATGATTTATAGTCCATTGGGTATATACCCAGTAATGGGATGGCTGGGTCAAATGGCATTTCCAGTTCCAGATCCCTGAGGAATCGCCACACTGACTTCCACAATGATTGAACTAGTTTACAGTCCCACCAACAGTGTAAAACTGTTCCTATTTCTCCACTTCCTCTCCAGCACCTGTTGTTTTCTGACTTTTTAATGATTGCCATTCTAACTGGTGTGAGATGGTATCACATTGCGGTTTTGATTTGCATTTCTCTGATGGCCAGTGATGATGAGCAATTTTTCATGTGTTTTTTGGCTGCATAAATGTCTTCTTTTGAGAAGTGTCTGTTCATGTCCTTCACCCACTTTTTGATGGGGTTTTTTTTTCTTGTAAATTTGTTTGAGTTCATTGTAGATTCTGGATATTAGCCCTTTGTCAGATGAGTAGGTTGCGAAAATTTTCTGCCGTTTTTTAGGTTGCCTGTTCACTCTGATGGTAGTTTCTTTTGCTGTGAAGAAGCTCTTGAGTTTAATTAGATCCCATTTGTCAATTTTGGCATTTGTTGCCATTGCTTTTGGTGTTTTAGACATGAAGTCCTTGCCCATGCCTATGTCCTGAATGGTAATGCCTAGGTTTTCTTCTAGGGTTTTTATGGTTTTAGGTCTAACGTTTAAGTCTTTAATCCATCTTGAATTGATTTTTGTATAAGGTGTAAGGAAGGGATCCAGTTTCAGCTTTTTACATATGGCTAGCCAGTTTTCCCAGCACCATTTATTAAATAGGGAATTCTTGTCCCATTTCTTGTTTTTCTCAGGTTTGTCAAAGATCAGATAGTTGTAGATATGTGGCATTATCTCTGAGGGCTCTCTTCTGTTCCATTGATCTATATCTCTGTTTAGGTACCAGTACCATGCTGTTTTGGTTACTGTAGCCTTGTAGTATAGTTTGAAGTCAGGTAGTGTGATGCCTCCAGCTTTGTTCTTTTGGCTTACGATTGACTTGGCAATGCAGGCTCTTTTTTGGTTCCATATGAACTTTAAAGTAGTTTTTTCCAATTGTGTGAAGAAAGTCATTGGTAGCTTGATGGGGATGGCATTGAATCTGTAAATTACTTTGGGCAGTATGGCCATTTTCAAGATATTGATTCTTCCTACCCATGAGCATGGAATGTTCTTCCATTTGTTTTTATCCTTTTTTATTTCATTGAGCAGTGGTTTGTAGTTCTCCTTGAAGAGGTCCTTCTCATCCCTTGTAAGTTGGATTCCTAGGTATTTTATTCTCTTTGAAGCAATTGTGAATGGGAGTTAACTCATGATTGGCTCTCTGTTTGTCTGTTGTTGGTGTATAAGAATGCTTGTGATTTTTGTACATTGATTTTGTATCCTGAGACATTGCTGAAGTTGCTTATCAGCTTAAGGAGATTTTGGGCTGAGACAATGGGGTTTTCTAGATATACAATCATGTCATCTGCAAACAGGGACAATTTGACTTCCTTTTTTCCTAATTGAATGCCATTTATTTCCTTCTCCTGCCTAACTGCCCTGGCCAGAACTTCCAACACTATGTTGAATAGGAGTGGTGAGAGAGGCCATCCCTGTCTTGTGCCAGTTTTCAAAGGGAATGCTTCCAGTTTTTGCCCATTCAGTATGATATTGGTTGTGGGTTTGTCATAGATAGCTCTTATTATTTTGAAATACGTCCCATCAATACCTAATTTATTGAGAGTTTTTAGCATGAAGCATTGTTGAATTTTGTCAAAGGCCTTTTCTGCATCTATTGAGATAATCATGTGGTTTTTGTCTTTGGCTCTGTTTATATGCTGGATTACATTTATTGATTTGTGTATATTGAACCAGCCTTACATCCCAGGGATGAAGCCCACTTGATCATGGTGCATAAGCTTTTTGATGTGTTGCTGGATTCGTTTTGCCAGTATTTTACTGAGGATTTTTGCATCAATGTTCATGAAGGATATTGGTCTAAAATTCCTTTTTTGGTTGTGTCTCTGCCTGGCTTTGGTGTCAGAATGATGCTGGCCTCATAAAATGAGTTAGGGAGGATTCCCTCTTTTTCTGTTGATTGGAATAGTTTCAGAAGGAATGGTACCAGTTCTTCCTTGTACCTCTGGTAGAATTCGGCTGTGAATCCATCTGGTCCTGGACTCTTTTTGGTTGGTAAGCTATTGATTATTGCCACAATTTCGGCTCCTGTTATTGGTCTATTCAGAGATTCAACTTCTTCCTGGTTTAGTCTTGGGAGAGTGTATGTGTCGAGGAATTTATCCATTTCTTCTAGATTTTCTAGTTTATTTGCGTAGAGGTGTTTGTAGTATTCTCTGATGGTAGTTAGTATTTCTCTGGGATTGGTGGTGATATCCCCTTTATCATTTTTATTGCGTCTATTTGATTCTTCTCTCTTTTTTTCTTTATTAGTCTTGCTAGAGGTCTATCAATTTTGCTGATCCTTTCAAAAAACCAGCTCCTGGATTCATTAATTTTTTGAAGGGATTTTGTATCTCTATTTCCTTCAGTTCTGCTCTGATTTTAGTTATTTCTTGCCTTCTGCTAGCTTTTGAATGTGTTTGCTCTTGCTTTTCTAGTTCTTTCAATTGTGATGTTAGGGTGTCAATTTTGGATCTTTCCTGTTTTCCCTTGTGGGCATTTAGTGCTATAAATTTCCCTCTACACAGTGCTTTGAATGCATCCCAGAGATTCTGGTATGTTGTGTCTTTGTTCTCGTTGGTTTCAAAGAACATCTTTATTTCTGCCTTCATTTCCTTATGTACCCAGTAGTCATTCAGGAGCAGGTTGTTCAGTTTCCATGTAGTTGAGCAGTTTTGAGTGAGATTCTTAATCCTGAGCTCTAGTTTGATTGCACTGTGGTCTGAGAGATAGTTTCTTATAATTTCTGTTCTTTTACATTTGCTGAGGAGAACTTTACTTCCAAGTATGTGGTCAATTTTGGAATAGGTGTGGTGTGGTGCTGAAAACATGTATATTCTGTTGATTTGGGGTAGAGAGTTCTGTAGATGTCTGTTAGGTCCGCTTGGTGCAGAGCTGAGTTCAATTCCTGGGTATGCTTGTTGACTTCCTGTCTTGTTGATCTGTCTAATGTTGACAGTGGAGTGTTAAAGTCTCCCATTATTAATGCGTGGGAGTCTAAGTCTCTTTGTAGGTCACTCAGGACTTGCTTTATGAATCTGGGTGCTCCTGTATTGGTTGCATATATATTTAGGATAGTTAGCTCTTCTTGTTGAATTGATCCCTTTACCATTATGTAATGGCCTTTGTCTCTTTTGATCTTTGTTGGTTTAAAGTCTGTTTTATCAGAGACTAGGATTACAACCCCTGCCTTTTTTTGTTTTCCATTTGCTTGGTAGATCTTCCTCCATCCTTTTATTTTGAACCTATGTGTGTCTCTGCACGTGAGATGAGTTTCCTGAATACAGCACACTGATGGTTCTTGACTCTTTATCCAATTTGCCAGTCTGTGTCTTTTAATTGGAGCATTTAGTCCATTTACATTTAAAGTTAATAATGTTATGTGTGAATTTGATCCTGTCATTATGATGTTAGCTGGTTATTTTGCTCGTTAGTTAATGCAGTTTCTTCCTAGTCTCGACGGTGTTTACATTTTGACATGATTTTGCAGCGGCTGGTACCGGTTGTTCCTTTCCATGTTTAGTGCTTCCTTCAGGAGCTCTTGTAAGGCAGGCCTGGTGGTGACAAAATCTCTCAGCATTTGCTTGTCTGTAAAGTATTTTATTTCTCCTTCACTTATGAAGCTTAGTTTGGCTGGATATGAAATTCTGGGTTGAAAATTCTTTCCTTTAAGATTGTTGAATATTGGCCCCCACTCTCTTCTGGCTTGTAGGGTTTCTGCCGAGAGATCCGCTGTTAGTCTGATGGGCTTCCCTTTGAGGGTAACCCGACCTTTCTCTCTGAATGCCCTGAACAATTTTTCCTTCATTTCAACTTTGGTGAATCTGACAATTATGTGTCTTGGAGTTGCTCTTCTCGAGGAGTATCTTTGTGTCATTCTCTGTATTTTCTGAATCTGAATGTTGGCCTGCCTTGCTAGATTGAGGAAGTTCTCCTGGATAATATCCAGCAGTGTTTTCCAACTTGGTTCCATTCTCCCTATCACTTTCAGGTACACCAATCAGATGTAGATTTGGTCTTTTCACATAGTCCCATATTTCTTGGAGGCTTTGCTCATTTATTTTTATTCTTTTTTATCTAAACTTCCCTTCTCACTTCATTTCATTCATTTCATCTTCCATTGCTGATACCCTTTCTTCCAGTTGATCACATCAGCTCCTGAGGCTTCTGCATTCTTCACGTAGTTCTTGAGCCTTCGTTTTCAGCTCCATCAGCTCCTTTAAGAACTTCTCTCTATTGGTTATTCTAGTTAAACATTCTTCTAAATTTTTTTCAAAGTTTTCAACTTTGCCTTTCGTTTGAATGTCCTCCCGTAGCTCAGAGTAATTTGATCGTCTGAAGCCTTCTTCTCTCAGCTCGTCAAAGTCATTCTCCATCCAGCTTTGTTCCGTTGCTGGTGAGGAACTGCATTCCTTTGGAGGAGGAGAGGCGCTCTGCTTTTTAGAGTTTCCAGTTTTTCTGTTCTGTTTTTTCCCCATCTTTGTGGTTTTATCTACTTTTTGTCTTTGATGATGGTGATGTACACATGGGTTTTTGGTGTGGATGTCCTTTCTGTTTGTTAGTTTTCCTTCTAACAGACAGTACCCTCAGCTTCAGGTCTGTTGGAGTTTTCTAGAGGCCCATTCCCGACCCTGTTTGCCTGGGTATCAGCAGTGGTGTCTGCAAAACCGCGGATTTTCGTGATCCGCGAATGCTGCTGTCTGATCGTTCCTCTGGAAATTTTGTCTCAGAGGAGTACCTGGTCGTGTGAGGTGTCAGTCTGCCCCTGCTAGGGGGCACCTCCCAGTTAGGCTGCTCGGGGGTCAGGGGTCAGGGACCAACTTGAGGAGGCAGTCTGCCCATTCTCAGATCTCCAGCTGCATGCTGGGAGAACCACTGCTCTCCTCAAAGCTGTCAGACAGGGACATTTAAGTCTGCAGAGGTTACTGCTGTCTTTTTGTTTGTCTGTGTCCTGCCCCCAGAGGTGGAGCCTACAGAGGCAGGCAGGCCTCCTTGAGCTGTGGTGGGCTCCACCCAGTTCGAGCTTCCAGGCTGCTTTGTTTACCTAAGAGAGCCTGGGCAATGGCCGGTTCCCCTCCCCCAGCCTCGCTGCTGCCTTGCAGTTTGATCTCAGACTGCTGTGTTAACAATCAGCGAGACTCCGTGGGCGTAGGACCCTCCGAGCCAGGTACAGGATATAATCTCATGGTGTGCCGTTTCCTAAGCCCGTCAGAAAAGCTCAGTATTAGGGTGGCAGTGGCCCGATTTTCCAGGTGCCATCTGTCACCCCTTTCCTTGACCAGGAAAGGGAACTAACTCCCTGACCCCTTGCACTTCCCGAGTGAGGCAGTGCCTCGCCCTGCTTCGGCTAGTGCACAGTGCACTTCACCCACTGTCCTGCACCCACTGTCTGGCACTCCCTAGTGAGATGAACCCAGTACCTCAAATGGAAATGCAGAAATCACCCATCTTCTGCATCGCTCATGCTGGGAGCTGTAGACCGGAGCTGTTCCTATTCGGCCATCTTGGCTCCTCCTCCCATTATTTTTTAATATTTTCTGAAAGTCTTCTTTAAAGAGAGAAAGCCAAATGTCACCCACTTTTTCATAAAACCTTACAGGCAAATCTATTATTCTTTTCTTTTTTGAGATGGATTTTCCCTCTTGTTGCCCAGGCTGGAGTGCAATGGTGCGATCTCGGTTTACTGCAACCCCCTGCCTCCCAGGTTCAAGCGATTCTCCCGCCCCAGCCTCCTGAGTAGCTGGGATTAGAGGCATGCCCCACCATGCCCAGCTAATTTTGTGTTTTTAGTAGAGACGGGTTTTTCCTTGTTGGTCAGGCTGGCCTTGAACTCCTGACCTCATGTGATCCACCTGCCTCGGCCTCCCCAAGTGTTGGGATTACAGCCATGAGCCACTGCCCCAGGCCATTTTTTTTTAAATATAGCGTCTTGCTCTGTCACCCTCCTCACCACATTATAGCTCTGGGGGCCAAGCTGCATCACAATGGAAATCATGGAGCCACAGGAAGAATCCACTCAGCTTTGCAAGATGCTGCCCAAGGGGTTGCTTGGAGTAACCAAATTAACATTTTTCATTCTGCTCAGAGCAAAATATATGTGACAAAACATAGACACGAGCCACTTTGCTTAACACCCAGTGTCAAACTGGTAAGACTCAAACTTGCTCCCAGATAGGCCGTGCCATCTCTAAATCTTTTTAGAAGCTTCTGCATGTTAATAGGCATCCCTAGATGAGACTAATTTGGGAGCCCTCATTTTTAAATGCACTTCAGGGCATTATTCATTTGGAATGTTCCACTATAAGTTATCTTTAGTAAGATTTTGCCATTTCTGTAAGACTTTGCTGCTTCCCAGGCCTAATGAATTAGCCAGAAAGAACTTAGTTTTCCAGAAATTAAGGATCCTATTTTTACCTAATATATTGGCTTTACTCCCAGGTTCCCTTGATTGACTTAGCCAATTATTTTTTTTCCTACCTAAGCGTGTGAGGAAAATGAAACAAAGGGGCAGAACACAAAAATCCCCGTGAATTTCCAAAAGCCAAATTTTACAATCCTCCAATATTATCATTTACTACCACTTTCTTTCTGACCCATTCAGATGTAGGAGGCCTCTAACTGGAACTGGATTCAAGCCAGTTAATTACTAGATCACATCTGATCCTGGACCCAGTCCCATTTCTGTCATAACTTCTAAAACATCCAGCCAGTCATGGCTGGATAGCAGTTTGGAACAGAAATTTGCTCAGAGAAACTCAGCTCAAAACACAAATCCATGGAGCTCTGAAATCCGAGAGAGAATTTACCACGATCCCCAGATGCTCTGAGAGGTCAAAGGGCACAAGTGTTACAGAATCCTGAGGCATCACTTTTCTGCCTGAAACCTCTGGCTGGTGGCACCTTTACCTGTGTTTTGCTCGGGCCCACTGTGTTCGTTCTGTCCACTCGGCTCATGCTAGTGGTCTGGATCCCACACCTGCCAAGGGTGAGCTGGGTACAGAGCAGTGAAGGGTGTGTGAGCAAGTGAGCATGGGATCTGGCCACTGCACACAGCCAAGCATGCCAGCTGCAGTGGGGTGGGCAGCTCCAGGCACCGGCACAGGTGCCAGCTCCCTGTGAGGCTGCAGCTGGACCAGGCTGACTGCAAACAGCTTCCACTGTGGGTATCAGGGAATGCAGTGGTGCCTGGAATCTTGGAGATGCAGGAACTGCAGAGCCCCAAATAAGGTGTCACAGCCCTGGCTTGGGGAGCTCCTAGGTCTGGGCTCCCTGAAGGGCCACAGCTCTTCTCTCCTTCTCTCTTCTCTTCTTCTTGCCTGCAATTTGGCAAGCAAGGGGTGCGTTTCAGCCCTGTTTATGTTACACCTCTTTCAGCCCTGCTAGTTGGCAGGTCCCGAGTTCTTGTCCTGAGTCCAGGAAGAATGAGGTATGTGGGCAAGTAGAAGGTGAGCAAGGTGAAGAGGTGCTTTATTGAGCAACAGTACAGCTCAGAGGAGACGTGCAGTGGGTAGCTCCTTTCTGCAGGCAGGTCATCCCAACGTCTGTTCAGCTCTCAGCAGCTGAGAGAGATGCATGGTGGTTAGCTATGCCCACAGTGCCCAGGCTTTTCGAGCAGAGGAGTGCCTTCAGGCCAGTGCTGAGCCACTCTTAGCCCCACCTCAACGTCCCTACTGTGCTCATCAGTTCCCAAAGTGTAGAGGGGGCCGAGGTGGCAGGGGGCTGGCATGTCAGCACTGCCCTGAGCTTGCACAAACTGGGCTGGGTTGCGACTGTGCCTGGGTTCAACCTCAACTTGGATCCGAAGTTGGAGTGGGCTCTGGGAGTGGAGAGATGCCAGGTGGTGGGAGCAGGTATGACTGGGCCTGCAGGGGCAGGGGGGCTTGCTGGGCCTCTGAGAGTGCAAAGATGCCTGGGTTTGCTGTCATGGGTGGATGGCTGCAGCTGTGCCTGGGAGGGTGGGGCTCCTTCCTGCCAATTTAGAAGGGCTGGGTCTCCCACCTGTTCCTGGCTCCCACTAACTTTGAGGAGTGCACAGCCCCAGCCACTCCTCCCCACTGCAGCCAGTGTCTCCGTAGCAACTGCTCCACATGGGCCACTGCTGCCATCATAGAGCGGTCCTTGCAGGTGCCTTTCTTGTACCTCAGCACTCCTGGGGGTCATTAGAAGCCCTAGCAACACTGCTCACCACACTATAGCTCCGGAGGCCCTAGCAGTCCTGCTCCCACAGATCCCACTTCTGACACCATCTATTAAAAGAAAATCTTCAGCTGAATTAAATTTAAAGGAACTTAATTGAGCAATGAATGATTCACGAATCAGGCAGCCCCGAGAATCACAGCAGATTCGGTGAGACTCCAGCACAGCTACATGGTGGAAGATTTATAGGTAATAAAGGGAACATGATGTACAGAAATCTGAAGTGAGGAGTAAGGTCCAGAAGCAACTGGGTCCGTTACAGTTCTCAGCAGTGAGGTCCAGAAACAACTGGACTGGTTACGGTGCTCAGCATTTGCCTTATTTGAACACAGCTGAACACTCAGCAGTGTGTGAGTGGCAGAAGTTTGGCTGTTGGGATTGGCCAGGACTCAGCTATAGTTACAGGTGCATACTCCAAAGTTAGGTTATCAGTCTTTCTACCTATTAAGTTAGGTTGCAGTTTGTCCACAGGGACTCAAATCTAGAAGTACAGAGTCCTTCCCAGGCCATATTTAGTTCACTGTAACAGTTCCTATTATGACCTCACTGACAGTTCTTTTTCTCTGAATTTTCCTTTCTTCTCAACAGCTTGTCCAAATGTTCCATTGGTCCCTGTTCATCCCACCCTGAAGCTCTCCTTGACTGATTCTGCCCTTTGTGGTTTGCAGTCCTGTTTCTCTACAGCTTGGACCCCTTCAGTCTTTCCATCATAGGTTTAAATCTCTGTTGAATTCTTCTTTGTAGCTACGCAAAAGTTACCTTAAGCTCAAAAAATTCAAAGTGAAAGCCACATCCTCCTCTCTTCCCTTATGTGTATGGTATTACTACCATGCAGCCAGTGACCCAAAATGGGATTTCTTCTGGGCTTTTCTTGCTTAGATTCAGGCTCATCTGGCTTCAAGCCTTGTTACTTTTGTTTCCTTGTTCTTTTATTTTTAATTTTTTTTCTTTTGAGACAGAGTTTCGCTCTTGTTGCCCAGGCTAGAGCGCAGTGGTGTGATCCTGGCTCACTGCAGCCTCCACCTCCCGGGTTCAAGCAATTCTCCTGCCTCAGCTCCTGAGTAGCTGGTATTACAGGCATTTGCCACCACGCCTGGCTAATTTTGTATTTTCAGTAGAGATGGGGTTTCTCTGTTTTGATCAGGGTGGTCTCGAGCTCCCGACCTCAGGTGATCCGCCCGCCTCGGCCTCCCAAAGTGCTGGGATTACAGGCATGAGCCACCGTGCCTGGCCTGCTTGTTGTTTTCATCTCATCCTGATTTCTGAATACAGGAGAGGAGCTGAGTTGGTGTTCACTAACAAGCACAGAAGCTTTGTTACATTTACAGTGTCATTCTTGGCAAAACCTGAATGGTATGTTTGTGGGGTGATGAGGTTCAGTCCCCTGTGACCTGTGCATCTGGCCAACACTGTGGTGACATCCTTAGGAATCCCTGGGGAGAGACAAAGCATTCAGGAGTTAGTGGGTCACTTTTGACAAGGGCCAATAAAGAAATATGCAAAGACAAAAAACAAGAAGAACATTGTCATATTTTATACCTTTTGTTTATATAAATTTATGTCAATGATTCTAGCTTAATGTTAATATGCAATGTATACAATATGCTAACATATACAATATATGTTTATAGTTTAAACATTTCTGTCATGTTTTCAGATTCTTTAAAGATTATATTACACTTCCTATTTCAGATAGCTGTTTAAAATGAGTAAGGAAAAACGGATGTGTGCATCAGTTCTAACTGTTTATGGACTAAAACTAGTTGATTTCTTGGTTAAGAACAAAAAGTGACAACCTAATTAACTGAAAATTTTAAGTAGGCAATTATGGTTTTAGCTTTAATGTAAAATATTAACTATGCTCCATTCTTGCATTTTTAACCTAATACTCAATATAAATCGCCACATGCCATGTTTCAGATCAAGGTTCTACTTGTGATCTCTCATGAGTTTTTCAAGGTTTTAATTATCTGAGATATAACAATGTACCCGTAACCTTACTGGCTTAAACCAGGAATTTATTCTTTTTACATGTCACAATTTTCTGGGTCAAGACACTGGACAGGGTGGTGTTGGTTGGTTGCTTCATGATGTCCCTGGTCTCATCTGGAAGGACTCTAGTGGCTGGGGACATGGAGCAGGCACCCAGCCCTCTCTTTGTGGCCAGCACGGACTTCCTCCCAGTCTGGCAGCGTCAGGTAGTCAGGTTTGTCTGGCTTCTCCCAAGGTGTGTGTCCAAGAGGCCCAGGCAGAATCTGTAAGGCCTCTCATGATCACCCCTCAGAAGTCCCAGAGCATCTCTCCTGCCACACTGTCCAGTCGTGCTCATCACTGAGACCAGCCATGATTCAAGGGGGGAAGGTGATTAGATTCCACCTCTTGATGAGAAGCATAGTAGGAACCTGCAGCAGTCTTTAATAAACCACAGCGTGTCTTCTGGCCACAAACTATTAACGTTTCTCCCACATGCAAATTATGCTTTGCCCCTCTCAAGAGCCCCAGAATGGTTTTACTTATGGCACTGGCTAGTAGCCCAACTGAATCCTGAATCAGGTTGTGGTGGCCTGTCACCTGCACCCACACACACTCAGCCGCAGTGAGGACTGAATCAGGTTGTGGTGGCCTGTCATCTGCCCCCCCCCAAACACAGCCACAGTGGGGACTGAATCAAGTTGTGGTGGCCTGTCATCTGACCCCCCACACACAGCCACAGTGGGGACTGAATCAAGTTGTGGTGGCCTGTCATCTGACCCCCCACACACAGCCACAGTGGGGACTGAATCAGGTTGTTGTGAGCTATCATCTGAGCCCACAAACTCAGCCGCAGTGAGGGGACTGCTGTGAAAACAGTCGACATTTCCCTTTAGAAGCTTTGGTGGGAGGCAAGAGGGAAGTGCTGCCCTGCAGGCCTCGTCTAAGAGTTGGTCATTCCCATGGGGGGCCTGTTACAGTTCTGTGATTAGTGCCCAGTCCTGGTCCCTGAGAACGGCACCCAGTCCTGGTCCCTGAGAATGGTGTTTGTGTCCTTTTACTCCTCCCTCTGGGCTTTTGTCATTCTCCATGTTCTTTTTCCTTCGGTGCCTGGGTTGCCGTTGACCAACTTTCCCTGCCTTTTTCTTAGGGTCAATAGGGTATTCAATGGCTTCTTTTTCATTTTTTTTTCCTTTTCTTTTCTTTTCTTTTTTTTTTTACTTTGGCCTTTTGAGACAAGAAATTATTTCTTTATATTTTCTCTAAATTCTGTTTGAAAACTGAACCTTCTTCTTTAGATCATGTCCCTCTCCTGTCATATTTATTCAATGACAGTTAGGGTAGGCTGGTAGCACTTTCCATGTTCTTCCCAGATGTCTCCTTAGGCAGATCCCTGAGATGGTGCAGTGCCTTTTCAGTTTCCATGTTGTGGCCGTAGTTTTCCCACAGTCCCTCAGCACGTAACTCTCACGCCTTTTCTCCAGTTTCCAATGACATTTTCTCACCGTCCTTCAGGCCCTGACCAAGAGTCTTGATGCCCTTCCAGGTTGCATGAATGGTCTCCTTGAGGCCCAGTTACAGGTCAGCCTCACAGTCGTGTCACATATTGTAGCTTCTGATTACCACAGCAGCTCATTTCCAGCTGCCATATTCTGTTCCAGTTATCTATTCTGAAGTAAAACAACTCATTATTACTTGTTTTTTGGCTTAGAGAGTCTTGGTGGCCAGCTCATCTCACACACAGTTGCAGCCAAGTTGGATTGTGTGAAAGCACAGTGGGGTGGTGTGCAGGGTGGCTCTTTAGTGGTTGGGAGTGGATGTTGCTGAAGGCTCACTAGTTGTTGGGAGTCGGTGTTGCTGGAGGCTCAGTGGGGGATGTCAATGTGTGTAGCTAGTCATGGACTGGCCTTGTGGTTTCCATCATGAGGTCTCAGGGGAGTGGGATTTCCTGCCTAGTGACTGGCTTTCTCCTGGATAAGTGTTCTGTTTTCTCAGCCTGGCTTCTGAAGTCCCCAAATACCACCTTTGTCACCTTCTGTTGGCCAAATAAGTCACTAGTCTGGTCAAGGTTTAAGGGGAATTGGTTCTCACAGAGAGAGGAGCAGGAAAGAATTTGTCACCTTTAGTCTACCAGAAATGAGATTTTTATAACAAGTTTATTCCAAATACATTCCAGTTCCCCTTGTGAATACTTTTTTGACTCACAGGGTATTTCAAAGTTTATTACTTGGTTTTTAGACATTTGAGGCTTTTCTGGATATCAATTTGTTGTTGGTTTCTAATTTAATTTCAAGTGTTCAGACAACATACTTTGTATACTATTTCAGGCTTGAACCTTTTCTCAATCGATTGACATACAGTCTATCTTGGCACTGCCAAGTACCATTTGGGTCAGGATTTTGTCATTTAGATCCGTATTTTCCTATATTTTCATCTGGTTGTTCCATCAGTTACTGAGAGAGCAGTATTAATTCACCAGCTATAATTTTGGATTGTCAATTTCCTGCTTTTGTTCTATTGTTTTTGATTCACATACTTTGAGGCTCTGTGTGTGTTTGTGTAGTTTGTGTGCACTTTGAGGCACAATTTATAATTGTAACATCATCCTCTCTGATTCTTTTATTTTTATTAAATTACCCTGTTTATTTCTGGTGATATATTTTGTTCTGAAGCCTCTTTCATCTAGTGTTAACATCTCTGTTGAAGCTTTTTATGATTAGTGTCTGGATAGCATGTTTTTATGTTTAGTGTCTGCATAGCATATTTTTTCTCATACTTTGTGTCTTTGTGTTTAAATTGTGTCTCTGTGGATGCCATATTGTTGGGTCTTGCCTTCCTCTCAGGTCTGGCAGTCTCTGTCTTAAGTAGAGTATTTGTCCAGTTACATTGTAACTAATCATTGCTAAGGTTGGATTTAGGTCTGCCATTTTTCTAGTTATTTTCTATTTGTTTGTTTATTTTTTTTTAAGACAGGGTCTTGTTCTGTCACCCAGACTGTAGTGCAATGGTGCAATCTTGGCTCACTGCAACCTCTGCCTCCCAGGCCCAACCAATCCTCACTTGAGCCCCCTGAGTAGCTGGGACTACAGGTGCATGGCACCACACCTGGCTAATTTTTATATTTTTTGTAGAGATAGGGTTTTGCCATGTTGCACAGGCTGGTCTTGAACTCCTGAGCTCAAGCAATCTACCCACCTTGGCCTCCCAAAGTGTTCAGATTACAGGCATGAGCCACCATGCCTGGCCTTCGTCTGTCTTTTGATCTTCTATATATTCTTTCCTATCTTCTTTTGGGTTAAATATTTCTAAATATTCCAGTTTGATTAATCTTTTGGCTTTTTGAAATTTTTTTATAGGCTGGGCATGTTGGCTTATGCTCGTAATCTCAGCTCTGTGGGAGTCCAAGGGAGGTGGATTGCTTGAACCCAGGAGTTTGAGACCAGCCTGGGCAACATGACAAAACCCTCTCTACAAAAAAATCCAAACCAAAATTTAGCCTGACATCTTGGTGTGCACCTGTACTTCTAACTATTTGGGAGGCTGAGGTGGGAGGGTTGCTTGAGCCTGGGAGGTTGAGGCTGCAATGAGCTGTGATCATGCCATTCCACTCCTGCCAGCGCAACAGAGTAAGACCGTGTGTCAAAAAAGATCATTTTTATAAATAATTTATAATTTCGAATTTTGGTAACAAACACATACCTTAAAATTTACCATCATAACCGGTTGTAAGTATACAGTTTTGTAGAGTTAAGAATATTTACATTGTTGTGCAGCAGATTTCTAGATTTTTTTTTATCTTGGAAAACTCTATACCCATTCAACAACTATTAATTTCCCCTTCCTTCCACCTCCTGGCAAGTACTATTCTACTTTGTGTTTCTAAAAATTTGGCTTATATACCTAGGGTTATATAATATTTGTTTTTTAAGTAGGTTCCATGTTATGTGCAGAAGTGTCAGGATTTTCTTCCTTTCTATGGCTGAATAATATTTCTTCATATATATATATTTTCTCTCTCTATATATATATGTATATCCTTTTGTTTATCCATCTATTCCTGGATAGACGTTTTGGTTTCTTCCACCTAGTGGCTGTGTAATGCTCCTGTGAACATAGGTGTGCACATATCTGTTTGAGGTCCTGCTACTAGTTATTCTGTCTCTGTAGAAGTTGGATGGCTGGATCATATGGTCATTTTATTTTATTTTTTTGAGGAGCCAGTTCATATTTCCACCAACAGTGTTCAAGTGTTTCAGTTTCACCTGCACTTGTTACTTTCTTTTGGGTTTGAAGTGATGTCCCATTGTGGTTTCTATTTGCATTTCTGTAATGATTAGTGATGTTACACATCTTCTCATATATCTCATGTATCTGTTGGCTATTTGTATATCATGTTTGCATCTTTGGATGAATGCTCTTTGTCCATTTTTTAATCACTTTATTTTGTTGTGTTGTAGTGGGGTTTTTTGGTCATGATCATTCATTTATCTCACAGTTCATTCTTGTTACTTGGGCCAGGGTCATGATCATTCATTATCTCTCAGTTCATCCTCATTACGTTGGGCAAACAGTCATGCTGCAGGGTATAGATTATGTTATTCTGTTACTTTCAGGTAGAATTGGGGTCTAGGTTCTAATTGTTTCTAAGTTTAGATTCTGAATGAGAATCAGCAGAGGTAGACCACTGCTGCTGAGGCCTGGGGATTGCTGGGAAAAAGGCAGGAAACAGATACGCACCTGACCATGGAGGGTTTATGTTTCACGGCTCCCATCTGGGTACCCAAAGAACCTACATGTAGCTCGTCTGTGGAGAGCCTACATTGCCCACTCAAAGCAATTGAGGATGGAACAGTCTTGGGGCTGGAGCTCATTATTTGGGATGATAACCACATCTGCACAGAGAGGACCTGATAAGATGTTGTCCTTCCATGTATATCTGGGAATCCTGTGTAGGGTCTCTCTGTAAGGACAGGGGCAGTGTTGGCTCCTTGGCCTCTAGTTAGCTTCACAAGTAGTCTAGTAAAGGTTTTGCAAACTTGTCACCATCTGTGGACATTCTGGCCAGCTCTTGTTTTCACCCTACTGACTTCTTCAGACACTAGGCTTTTGCTTTAGACCATTCATGGTTTTCTTCCTCTTCAAATCAGTAATCAATAAATCGTCTTCAAGTCAATAAATTTCCACTCCTTTAGGAAACCCTGATCTTCTGGTCACACCAAGGTTTAATTAACTGGTTTGATTGTCTTTCTGTTTTCTTGGATTTTTTTTCCTTCTTCCTGGGGGTTTCTAGTAATTCTAGTTTGATGTCTCACTTTCTCCATTTTTTATTTCTTAGTTTTCTTCTGTGATTATTTTCACTGCAGCTGCAGGGCCTAATCCTGGGTTGGCAGAGAACTAGCACTTACTCTGCCCTAATTGGAATCCAGGAGAGATAGGAGGTTCCCTAGTGTGAAAATGTGTTTGCTCCTCTCTGCTTCTGGTAGTCTCTCTGTAGGAGTTCTTTACATATTCTGAATGTTCACTTCTTATGAGATACATGATGAGCAACTATAGGTTGAATGTCTCTGATCCAAAAATCTGAAATCCCAAATGCTCCAAAGTCTGAAACTTTTTGAGTGCCAACATGACACTCAAAGGAAATACTTATTGGAGCATCTCAGACTCAGGTGTTTGAATTTGAGATCCTCAACCAGTAAGAATAATCCAAATATTACAAAATCTGAAACACATCCCAAGCATTTCAAATAAGGGACACTCAACTGGTATTTTTTTTAATTTTACAGTTTGCCTTTTACCCTGTTGGTTGTGACCTTTCAGGTACAGAAGTTTTTAGGTTTGATATATTTTTGCTTTTACTGCCTGAGCTTTTAATGTCATATCCTAAAAATTATTGACAAATTCATCGTCATAAAGCATTTTCCAAATTTGTTTTCCCTAGGAGTTTGATAGTTCTAGTTTTACATTTAGGTTTATAATTCACTTTGAATTGATTTTAACGTGGTGTAAGGTAAGAGTCCAACTTCATTGTTTTGCATGTAGTTATACAATTTTCCCAACACCATTTGTTGAAGAAAGTGTGCTTTGCCATTGAGTGGTCTTGGCATCCTTGTGGAAGATCATCGGACCATATATGCCAGGGTTGGTTTCTGAGGTCTCTGTTGTGTTGGTCCATAAGTGTGTCAAGAGTGTCTTTATGCCATGACCACATTTTTTTTTTGGCTTATTGCAGTTTTATAATTGCTTTGAGACCTTTAATTTTGTTCTGTTTCAAGATTGATTTGCCTATTCATGGGCCCTGGAGATTCCATATGAGTTTTAAGATAGGTTTTTCTGTTTATCAAAAATGTCATTGGAATCTTTATGAGGATTGTATTGAATCTAGGTCACTTCGAGTAGTGTTGACATCATTCCAAGATGAAATCATCTAATCTGCAAACCCAGCTTTTCTTTTCATTTATTTGTGTTTAATTTCTTTTAACAGTGTTTTGTAGTTTTCTGTGTTCAAATCTTTTGCCCTATTGGTTAAGCTTATTTCTAATTTTTATAATGCTGTTGTAAATATAATTCTTTTTTTTTTTTTTTTTTTTTTTGAGATGGAGTCTTGCTCTGTCTCCCAGGCTGGAGTGCAGTGGCACTATCTCAGGTCACTGCAACCTGCACCTTCCTTATTCAAGCGATTCTCCAACCTCAGCCTCTCAAGGACTTGGGATCACAGGTGCCCGCCACCATGCCCAGCTAACTTTTTGGTATTTTTAGTAGAGACAGTGTTTCTACATGTTGACCAGGCTAGTCTTGAACTTGTGACCTCAGGTGATCTGCCCGCCTCGGCCTCCCAAACTGCTGGGATTGCAGGCATGAACCACCGCACCCAGCCAAATGTCATTCTTTTTAAAAATTTCTTTTCTTTTGTTTTCTCTTTCTTTTCTTTTCTTTTCTTTTATTTTCTTTTCTTTCTCTCTCTTTCTTTCCTTTCTTTCTTTTTTTTGAGACGGTGTCTCACTCTGTTTCCTAAGCTGGAGCACAGTGGCACAATCTCAGCTGACTGCAACCTCCACCTTCCAAGTTCAAGCAATTCTCCTGCCTCAGCCTCCCAGGTAGCTGGGACTACAGGTGTCTGCCACTATGCCCAGCTAATTTTTGTATTTTTAACAGAGATAGAGTTTTACTATTTATATTAGAGATGGGGTTGACCCAGCTGGTCACGAACTCCTGACCTCAGGTGGTCCACCCGCCTTGGCCTCCCAAAGTGCTGGGATTACAACTGTGAGCCACTGCACCTGGCCTCTTTTTAAAATTTTATTTGCAGATTGTTCATTGTTAGTTTATAGAAATGCAACTGACTTGTGTGTGTTACTGTATCCTGAAACTTTGTTGAATTTCATTATTCTACCAGTATTTTGTGGAATTTCAGGATTTTTACACATTACATCATGTTGTCTGTGAACAAAATTTTGTACTTTTTCCTTTCCAATTTGCATGCTTTTTATTACTTTCTCTTGCCTAATTATTCTGAGTAGAAATTCCAGTACTGTGGTGAATAGAAGTGGCAGGAAGAGATGTTGCTATCTTATTCCTGATCCTAGAGGAAAAGATTTTAGTTTTTCACCATTCAGTATGATGTTAGCTGTGAGCTTTTCATGTATAATCTTTATTTACTGAGGAGTTTCCTTATATTACTAATTCTTTGAGTGTTTTTATTACAAAAGGTGTTCATCTGGCTCTGGAACCAGATAAATGTTGACCTGATAGAATGGATTGGAATGTCCCCTTCTGGTTTTTGTACATTTTTGGAATATTTTGCAAAGGACTGGCATTAATTCTTCTTGAAATGTTTGGTAAAATTCTCCAGTGAAGTTATCTGGACCTGGAATTTTCTTTTTTGGGGGGTTTTTGATTACTGGTTGAATCTTCTTACTAGTTACAGGTCTCTTTGGATTTTTTATTTCTCCATGATGCAGTATGGTGGTTTGTGTTTCTAGGAATTTATAAATTTATTCTAGGTTGTCCAGTTTTGTGGCATATGGTTGCTCACATTTGTCTCTTGTAATCTTTTTCATTTCTGTGGAATCTGTTGTACTGTCACCTCTTTTATTTATGATTTTAGTATTTGAGATTTCTCTTTTTTTCTTAATATAGCTGTGAGTTTTAAAATTTTTATTGATCTTTAAAAAAACAAACTCAGTGTTTTTTTTTTCCTTTTTTTCTGATCTTATTCTGCTTATCTCTATTCTAATCTGTTACTTTCTTCCTTTTGCTTGGTTTGTCATTAGTTTTTTTTTTTTTTCCCCTTTAGGTGTAATGTTAGGTTATTGATTTGAGATCTTTCTTCTTTTTAATTTAAGCACCTGCAACTATAAGCTTCCCTTTAGCATGGCTTTGAGATCTTTCTTCTTTTTAATTTAAGCATCTGCAGCTGTAAGCTTCCCTTTACCATGGGTTTGAGATCTTTCTTCTTTTTAATTTAAGCATCTGCAGCTGTAAGCTTCCCTTTACCATGGGTTTGAGATCTTTCTTCTTTTTAATTTAAGCATCTGCAGCTGTAAGCTTCCCTTTAGCACTGCCTTTGTTGCCTCCTCCTGAGTTTGGGTATGTCATGGTTTTGTTTTCATTTGCTTAAACATTTTTTTGTCCTATTGTAATATAATTGTGTTGTTTTTAATAGAGGTAATTAATGAAACACATAATGAATTGTGCTTCTGTTTTTATAATATTTTAAGCATTCTTAACTCAGAAATGTAAATTTTAGAAAAAAATTCCAGGCCAGGCACACTGGCTCACACCTGTAGTCCCAGCACTTGAGGAGGCCGAGGCGGGAGGATCATCTGAGGTCAGGAGTTGGACACCAGCCTGGCCAACATGGTGAAACCCTGTCTTTACTAAAAATAGAAAAAAAATTTATAAAAGCTAGCTGGGTGTCATGGCGGGTGCCTGTAATCCCAGCTACTCTGGAGGCTGAGGCAGGAGAATCACTTGAATCTGGGAAGCGGAGGTGGCAGTGAGCTGAGATTGCACCACTGCACTCCAGCCTGGGTGGCAGAATGAGTCCATCTCAAAAAAAAAAAAGAAAAAAGAAAAAATTTCAGACATATTTATTTGTATTTCAATTTAGAAACTATGATCTCCTAAGTGTATTGACACAGCAACCTGATGTAAAGATAAAGAATAATAAGCATATAACAAAACGAAAACTTGCAAATACCTGTTTTTTATTAATTTTTAATTATATATATTTAAAAATTGCCAGATGCAGTGGCTTACACCTGTAATCCCAGCACTTTGGGAGGCTGAGGTGGGCAGATCACATGAGGTCAGGAGTTTGAGACCAGCCTGGCCAACATGGTGAAACCTCATCTCTATTAAAAATCAAAAAATTAGCCAGGCGTGATAGCATACATCTGTAATTCCAGCTACTCAGGAGACTGAGGCAGCAGAATTGCTTGAACATGGGAGGCAGAGGTTGCAGTGAGCCAAGATAGTGCCACTGCACTCCAGCATGGGTGACAGAGTGAGGCTCTGTCTCAAAAAAATAAAAATTGTCTGGGCACGGTGGCTCACACCTGTAATCGCAGCACTTTGGGAAGCTGAGGCAGGCAGATCACGTCAGGAGATCGAGACCATCCGGGCTAACACAGTGAAACGCCATCTCTACTAAAAATACAAAAAATTAGCTGGGCGTGGTGTCGGGTGCCTGTAGTTCCAGCTACTCCGGAAGTTGAGGCAGGAGAATGGTGTGAACCTGGGAGGTGGAGCTTGCAGTGAGCTGAGATTGCACCACTGGACTCCAGCCTGGGTGACAGAGCAAGACTCTGTCTTAAAAAAAAAATAAAATAAAACTAAAGTGTGGTTGACATACAAAAATTACACATATTTAATATATACCTTTGTGTGTGTGTGTGTGTGTGTGTTACGGAGGTTTTACTCTTGTTGCCCAGGCTGGAGTGCAGTGACATGATCTCAGCTAACTGCAACCTCCGCCTCCCGGGTTCAAGCAATTCTCCTGCCTCAGCCTCCTGAATAGCTGGGATCGCAGGCGTGCACCCCTACACCCGGCTAATTTTTGTATTTTTTTAGTACAGGCAGGGTTTCATCATGTTGGCCAGGCTGGTCTCGAACTCCTGACCTCAGATGATCCACCTGCCTCGGTCTCCCAAAGTGCTGGGATTACAGGCGTGTGACACCGAATATATACATCTTAATGAGTTTAGAGATAAGTATTTGCCCCAGGACTCATCACAACAAATAATGCCGTAAACTTGACCATCACTCCCCATATATTTCTCATTCTCACCCTTTTTAAAAAATGAGACCGGGAGTGGTGGCTCACGCCTGTAATCCCAGCATTTTGCGAGGCCGAGGCAGGTGGATCACGAGGTCAGGAGATCAAGACCATCCTGGCTAACACAGTGAAACCCCGTTTCTACTAAAAATACAGAAAATTAGCTGGGCGTGATGGCGGGCACCTGTAGTCCCAGCTACTTGGGAGACTGAGGCAGGATAATGGTGCGAACTCGGGAGGCAGAGCTTGCAGTGAGCTGAGATCGTTCCACTGCACTCCAGCCTGGGCAACAGAGTGAGACTCCGTCTCAAAAAAAAAAAAAAAAATGAGATGACCATTTCACCTAAAATATACCCTCTTAAGTTTTATTTTAAGTGTACAATACAGGACGGCCATGCATCAGAGATATATGTGGGTTTGGTTCCAGACCACTGCAATAAAGTGAGTTATACAATTTCTTTTGGTTTTCCAGTGCATGTAAAAGTATGTTTATACTGTGCTGTATAAAGTGTGCAATAGCATATGTCTACAAAGTGTTCACACTTTAATTTACAAATACTTTATTGTTAACAAGTGCTAACAGTCATCTGAGCCTTCAGAAAGCTGCAATCTTTTCTTGTGTGCGTGACAGGGTTTTACTCTGTGGCTCAGGCTGGAGTAATTGCAGCCTCAACCTCATGCTCAATCAAACCCCCACCTCAGACTCCTGACTAGCTGGAACTACAGATGCATGCCACCGTGTCCAGCTAATTTTTGTATTTTTTTTTTTTTTTTGTAGAGATGGGGTTTTGCCATGTTGCCTTGACTTCCTGGGCTCAAGCAATCTACCCACCTTGGCCTCCCAAGGTGTTGGGATGACAGGTGTGAGCCACTGCACCTGGCCAAGTTTCAGTCTTCTTGCTGATGGAGGGTCTTGCCTTAATGTAAGGTGGTGGTTGCTGAGCGTTGGGGTGGCTGTGGCAATTTCTTAAAATAAGACACCATTGAAGTTTGCTGTGTCAATTGACTCTCCCTTTCACAAAAGAATTATCTGTAGCATACGATGTTGTTTGATAGCTTTTTACCCACAGTAGAACTTTCAAAATTCGATTCAATCCTGTCAAACCTTCGTACAGCTGTACCAACTAAGTTTATGTATTATTGTAAATCATTGGGTTCAATTCTGTCAAGCCCTCCTTCTGCTGTACCAACTAAGTTTATTCTAAATCTGTTGTCATCTCAACATTGTTTACACTGTCTTCACCACGAGTAGATTTCATCTCAAGAAACCACTTTCTTTGCTCATCCGTGGAAGCAACTCATCCACTCACGTTTTCTCCAGAGGCTTCTGCAGTCTCGCCAGATCTTCAGGCTCTGTCTCTGATTCTAGTGCTCTTGTTATTTCCACCATATCTGCAGTTACCTCCTCCACAGAAGTCGTGAACCCCTGTGTCATCTGTGAGGGTTGGAATAATCTTCCCAACTTCTCTCTCTCTCTTTTTTTTTTTTTTTTTTGAGATGAAGTCTTGCCTGGGCTGGAGTGCAGTGATGCGATCTCAGCTCACTGCAACCTCCATCTCCCAGGTTCAAGCAATTCTGCCTCAGCCTCCCAAGTGTTTGGGATTACGGTCACCCCGACCAGGCCCAGCTAATTTTTTTGTGTTTTTAGTACAGACAGGATTTCACTATGTTGGCCAGGCTGGTATCAAATTCCTGACCTCGTGATCCACGTTCCTTGGCCTCCCAACATGCTGGGATTACAAGTGTGAGCCACCACGCCTGGCCCCAACTTCTCTTAATGTTGCTATTTTGATCTTATTTTTTAAATCATGAATGTTCTCAATGGCATCTAAAATGGTGAATCCTTTCCAGTAGGTTTTCAATTATTTTGCCCAGATCCATCAAAGGAATCACTTTCTAGAGAAGCTATAGCTTTATGAAATATATTTTTTAAGTGATAAGACTTGAAAGTTCAAATTATTCTTTGATCCAAGGGCACCAGAATGAATGTTGGTTTAGTAGGCATGAAAACAATATTCTGCTCTTTATACATCTCTGTAAAAGCCCTTGAGTACCAGGGGCATTGTCAGTGAGCGGTAATACTTTGAAAGGAATCTTATTTCTTGAGCAGTAGGTGTCAACAGTGGGCTTAAGATATTCAGTAAACCGTATTTGTAAACCGATAGTCTGTCATCCAGGCTTTGTTCCCATTTGTAGAGTACAGACAGAGCTGTGTTTTATCATAATTCTTCAGGGCCCTTGGATTTTCAGAATAGTAAATCATCATTGGTTTCAAGTTAACATCACCAACTGCATTAGCCCTTAACAAAAGAGTCAGCATGTCCTTTGAAGCCTTAAAGCCAGGCATCAACTCCTCTCTAGCTGGGAACATCCTAGATGGCATCTCCTTCTAGTAGAAGGCTGTTTTGTCTCCATTGCAAATCTATTTAGTGTAGCCATCTTAATCAGTTATCTTCTAGATAGCTTTCTGCAGCTTTTCCATCAGTACTTGCTGCTTTATCTTGCGCTTTTATGTTATGGAGATGACTTTTTTCCTTAAACCTCAAGAAACAAGCTCTTCTAGCTTCAGACTTTCCTTCTGCAGCTGCCTCACCACTCTAAGTCTTCATAGAATTGAAGAGAGGCCAGGTGCAGTGGCTGTCACACCTGTAATCCTAGCACTTTGCGAGGCCGAGGCAGGCAGATCACCTGAGGTCGGGAGTTCGACGCCAGTCTGACCAACGTGGAGAGACCCCATCTCTACTAAAAATACAAAAAATTAGCCAGGTGTGGTGGTGCATGCCTGTAATCCCAGCTACTCGGGATGCTGAGGCAGGAGAATGGCTTGAACTTGGGAGGCAGAGGTTGCGATGAGCCAAGATCATGCCATTGCACTCCAGCTTGGGCAAGAAGAATGAAACTCTGTCTCAAAAATAAAGAAAAAAAAGTAAAAGGAGAGTTAGGCTTAAGCTTAATGGAATGTTTTTTGTTTTTTTTTCATCTTCTATCTAGACCAATTAAACTTTCTTCATAACAGCAGCAAGGTTGTTTAGCTTTTTATCATTCATGTGTTCACTGGAGCAGTACTTTAAATTTCTTTCCAGAACACTTCGTTTGCATTCACAACTTGGCTAAGTGTTTGTTGCATGAGGTCTAGCTACTGGCCTGTCTTGCTTACAGCATGCCTTCCTCACTAAGCTTAATTATTTCTTCCTTTTGGTTTAAAGTGACAGACATGCAACTCTTCTTTCATGAACATATAGAGGCTATTGTAGGGTTATTAATTGGCCACATTTTAATATTAATAAAAAGAAGCCTGAGAAAAAGAGAAAGAGAAATGGCCCATTGGTTGGGCAGTCAGAACAAACGCATGTCAATTGTTTGCTGTCTTATCCTGGTGTGATTTGTGGTTCCCAAAACAATGACAACAGTAGCATTAAAGATCACTGATTACAGATCACCACAACAGATTCAATAATAAAAATCTCAAAATACTGTGAGAATGACCGAAATGTGACACAGAGACGTGAAGTGAGCACGTGCTGTAGGAACAATGGTGCCAGTCAGACCTGCTTATTGCAGGGTGGCCACAAACCTTCAATATGTAAAACACATGGTCACAAAACACAATAAAGCAAAGTGCAGTGAAACAAGATGTGTCTGTCTTTTGATAGACTGTGACAATCTCTACCTTTGAATTGGTACATTCATACCATTAACATTCAAAGTGATTATTGATATCATTGGATTAATATCTACTATATTTGTTACTGTTTTCTATTCATTCTCCTCAGTCTTCATTCTTTTGTCTACCACTCTTTTTCTCCCTTTCGCAGTTTTCATTGATGATTTTAGATGACTACATTTTCCCTGTCTTTCTTAGCATGTACTTCTCTTTTTAAAACCTTTTTTAACTAGTTGCCACAGAATTTGCAATATACATTTACAACCAATGCAAGTCCACTTTCAAATTACACTATCCAACTATCCCACAAATAAGACTACCTGCTTAACAAACAAAACACCTAATTCCTCAGTAACATTTACAACAAATTCAAGTCCACTTTCAAATAACACTATCCCACTATCCCACAAATAAGACTACCTGCTTAACAAAGAACACACCTAATTCCTCAATATACATTTACAACCAATTCAAGTCCACTTTCAGATAACACTATCCCACTTCACGCGTGACTACCTGCTTAACAAAGAAAACATCTGATTCCTCCCTCCCATCCTTCCATTCCATTCCTTGTATTATTGTTCCTTATTTCACTTGTGTATAAGCATGCATAATCTATCTGTGTGTATTTATTATTATCTACAAACTTATTGGTCAGATCAATTATGAATAAATACATGTTTTTATTGTACCACAATGCCTCCCTCCCATCCTTCCATTCCATTCCTTGTATTAATGTTACTCATTTCAATTGTGTATAAGCATACATAATCTATCTGTGTGTATTTGTTATTGTCTATGAACTTCTTGGTCAGATCAATTAAGAATAAATACACAGGTTTTTATTGTACCACAATTCTTTCTTTAATGCTCTTTTTAAAAAAATGTTGATCCAGGTTTCAGTTACATATCTTTTGTTTCCCTAAAGAATTTCATTTAACATTTCTTGCAAGACAGGTCTCCTGGCAACAAGTTTCTTGAATTTTTATTTTTCTGAGGAAGGCCTTAATTCTCCTTCACTTTTGAAGGGTGTTTTCAGTGGGTACAGAAACTTAGGTTGGTGGGTTTTTTTTCTGTCAACCTTTTGAATTTTTCATTTCACTGTCTTCTTACTTTCACAGTTTCTGCAATGTTGAATGCAGTTCTTATCTTTGTGTCTCTGTAGGTAAGGTGTTTTCTGCCCCACCTCTGGTTTCTTTCAGAGTTTTCCTTTATCTTTTATTTCATATAGTTTGAAAATTATATGTCCAAGTGTATGTTGTTGGCATTTATTCTGCCTGGTGTTCTCGGAGCTTCCTGGATCTTTGGTTTGGTGTCTGACATTAATACTGGAAGTTCTCAGACATGGTTGTTGCAGAACTTTCTTCTATTTCTTCTCCTCCTGGTATTCTCATTACTCTGTTTCACCTTTTGTAGTTGTCCCACAGTCTTGAATATCATCTTCTGTTCTTTTCAGTGTTTCTTTTCTTTAGTTTTTGAAGTTTCTGGTGATAAATCCTCAAGCTCAGAGATTTTTACTCAGCTGAGTCCAGTCTACTAATAAGCCATCAGAGGTATTCTTCAGTTATTTACCACGTTTTTCATCACTACATTATGTTGAAAGTTCTTACGATGTTTGTCTTTCTGACAACATTACCCATCTACACTTGAATACTGTCTACTTCATTCATTAGGCCCTTAGCATATTCTCCAGAGGTTTAAAAAAAATTCCAAAATCATATCTTTGTCTACTTCTGAAGCTTGCTCTGTTGACACAAATTATATTTTTTTTCTTTTTTTGGATTTTAGTATGCCTTGCAATTTTTTCCCTTTATTCTCATGCATGAAGCACCCACGGAAAGTGACTGCTGTTAGTATAGCTTCAGTAATGCGGTGATGAGGTGACAGGGCAGGTGATGCTCTCTTAGTCTCTTTAGGCTACTATAACAAAATACTTCAGACTGAGTAATTCATAAACAACAGAGATTATTGCTCACAGATCTGGAGGCTGGAAAGTCCAAGACTAAAGGGCCAGGATATTTGGTGTTTGTTGAAGGTCAAACATTCAGACACTCACAACGACTATAGCGACAGCAGCAGTCTTCAGGAATCCTATGTGAGGGACAAACACTCAGAAGCCAGCTGGAGTGTTCTAGAATCCTATGTGAGGGCCAAACATTCAGACCCCAGCAGTAGTGTTGTGGAATCCTATGTGAGGGACAAACTTTCAAACCCTTGTAACAGTGTTCTGGAATGCTATGTGAGGGACAAACATTCAGACCATGGGAGCAGTGTTCTGGAATTCTATGTGAAGGACAAACATTAAGACTCTCATAGCAGTGTCCTGGAATCATATGTGAGGGACAACCATTCAGACACCAGCAGAAGTGTTCTGGAATCCTAGGTGTGGGAAAAACATTCAGAACCTAGTAGCAGTGTTCTGGAATCCTATGTGAGGGACATACATTCAGACCACGGCAGCAGTGTTCTGGAATGGTATGTGAAGGACAAACATTCAGACCCTTGTAGCAGTGTTCTGGAAATCTATGGGAGGGACAAACATTCAGACCACAGCAGCAGTGTTCTGGAATCCTATATGATGGACCAACATGCAGACCCTTGCAACAGTGTTCTGGAATACTAGGTGAGGGAAAAATATTCACACCCTTGTAGCAGTGTTCTGGAATTCTATGTGACTGACAAACATTCAGACTCCAGCAGCAGTGTTCTGTAATCCTATGTGAGGGACAAACATTCAGACCCCAAGAGCAGTGTTCTGAAATCCTATGTTAAGGGAAACATTGAGACCCCAGCATGAATGTTCTGGAATCCTATGTGAGGGACAAACATTCAGACCACAGCAGGAGTGTTCTGGAATCCTATATGAGGTATAAGCATTCAGACCCTCATAGCAGCGTTCTGGAATCCTATGTGAGGGAGAAGCATTCAGAGCACAGCAGGAGTGCTCTGAAATCCTATGTTAGGGACAAACATTCAGAACCTTGTAACATTGTGCTGGGAACCTATGTGAGGGACAGACATTTAGACCCTCGCAGCAGTGTTCTGGAATCCCATGTGAGGGTCAAACATTCAGATCCTCGCAGTAGTGTTCTGGAATTCTATGTGAGTGACAAACATTCAGACTCCAGCAGCAGTGTTCTGTATTCCTATGTGAAGGACAAACATTCAGAATCCAGGAGCAGTGTTTTGAAATCATATGTTAAGGGCAAACATACAGACCCTAGCATCAATATTCTAGAATCATATGTGAGGGACATACATTCAGACCCTCGCAGCAGTGTTCTGGAATCCTAGATGGGGGACAAACATTCAGACCCCAGCAGCAGGCTTCTGGAATCCTATGTGGGAGACAAACATTCAGACAATGGCAGCAGTGTTCTGGAATCCTATGTGAGGGACAAACACTCAGAGCCTTGTAGCAGTGTTCTGGAATCCTATGTGAGTGAGAGTGCCTGGAGCCTACCCAACCTGACGCCCCCACAGCCCTCACAGGGTCTGACCTCCCAGCATGCACCTGCCTCTCCCTGAACCCCAACTGCCCACCCTGCCTGTTCCCTGGCCTCCTCCATCCTGTGCAGCCCATAGACTGTGACCATCTCTCCAGCCACTCTGGCTCTTCCTTTACCTTTGTCCTGTCAGAATCTCTGAGCAGGATCTCCCAAGTCCATCCAAATACGTGCTTTGTCCACTTCTGACTAGGCCCTTGGGCATCACTGGGCTATCCCAGCTGTCCACAGGGCCTTCAATAATGCACTTTGCACCTGGCTTATCCAAGCAGTGCTCAGCAGCCCACATTGACCAGGTCCCTGCTGACCAGACCCTGCACATCAGGTCCTCCCTGATGACACCCTCACTGATTAGACCCTCATGACCAGGCCCCACTAACAAGGCCCCCACTGCCAGGCACACAATGACAAGGACTCCACCGACCAGGACCTTACTGACAAGGCCTCACTGACAAGGCCTCACGGACCAAGTCCTTACTGACAAGTCCTCACTGACTAGGTCATTATTGACAAGGCCTCACTGATCAGGTTCCACTGATCATGACCTCATTCCCTGGCCCCAAAGATGAGGCCCCACTGACCAGGCCTCCAGGGAACAGGTTGCCACCGATCAGGCCCCTAATAACGAGGCCTTATGTCACCAGATGCCCCTGACTGGGACCCTAGTGAGTAGACCCCACTGAACCAGCACCAAATGCTGAGATCCCCGCTGACCAGGTCACCCTGTAGACCGGTGCTACAAAAGTCACCACTGACCAAGTCCTCTCTGACCAGGACACTACAGATTAGGTCCCACCGACAAGGCTGCCCTGACCAGGGCCCCACTGACAAGGGCCTCACTGATGAGGACACGCCCACCAGGGTCTGCTGACTAGGTCCCATGTGCCCAGTCCTCCACTGAATAGCACCCCTTGACCTGGTCACCAGTGCCCCAGCCCATGCTGACCAGGCCAGCACTAAGCCCCAGCTGACCAGGTCTCCACTGATCAAGCCCCACAGCCCAGGTTTGCACTGACCAGACACCAAACAACTGGCAGCCAATAGGTCCCCACTCACCAAAACTCCCACTACTAGACCCCACTAATGAGACCCTCTCTAAGCAGACCCCTGCTGACCACGATCCCACTAAATAGTCCTCACTGACCTAGGTCCACTGACCAGGCCCACACTGATCAGGCCCCTCCTAACCACACCGGAAATCCAAGCGGCAATGACATGTTTCATATGGCAAAAGTTGGAACAAGACAGAGAGAGGAAAGAGGTTCCACAGCCTTTTAAACTACTAGATCTCATGAGAACTCACTCACTATCAGGAGGATGGCATTAAGGGCTTGGTGCTTTGCCATTTGTGAAGGATCCACTCCCACACCTTTATGATTAAAGCTTTTTCCACCTAGGCCCCGACTCTAACATTAGGGAGTGTACTTTCACATGAGTTTTGGAAGGGGCATAGAGAAAAACCGTATTATTCTGTCCCTGACCCCACAAATCTCATGTCCTTCTCACATTGCAAGATACAGTCATGCCTTGCCAGCAGTCTCCCAAAGTCTTAACTCATTTCAGCATTAACTCAAAGTTACAAAATGCAAAGTCTCATCTGGGTCAAGGCTACATTCTCTTTTGCCTACGAGTCTCTGAAATAAAAAGCAAGTTCACTGCGTCTAAGGTACAATGATGGTACAGGCATTGTGTAAGCTTTCCATATCCAAAAGAGAGACATTTTCCAGAAAGCTTCTTATTTTTATCTGAAGCCCCCTCAGCCTGGCCTTCACTGTCCATGTTTTTGTCAGCATTCTTGTCACAGCCATTTAACCAGTCTCTAAGATGATCCAAAAATGTTCTCATCTGTCTGTCTTCTTTGGAGCCCTCCAAACTCTTCCAACCTCTACCCATTACCCAGTTCCGAAGTTGCTTCCACATTTTCAGGTATCTTTATAGCAATGCTCCAGTCCTCATTTGCCATTTTTGGTAAGATTTATTTTGAAAAAGAGGTTTAATTGGCTCATGGTTCTGCAGAGTGGACAGGAAGCTTAGTGCTTCTGCTTCTGGGGGGGCTCAGAAATCTTTCAATCATTGTGCAAGGTAATGAAAGAGTGAATTGTCTCACATGGCAAGAGGAAATCACGGAGAGTAGGGAGTGATATAGAGTTTTCAGTGGCCAGATCTCACGAGAAGCCACTCATGATTGTGAGGACAGTACCAAGGGGATGGTGCTGAACCACTCATGAGAAATTTGCCTTCATGATTCAGTCACCTTATACCAGGATCCACCTCCAACATTAGGAAGCATAACTCAACATGAGATTTGGTGGGGATACATATTCGAATTGCCTCATCAGTCTTTGAGTATAAAGACATCCATAGCAGGCTTTATCCAGCCAGCTTCTTTGGGATTCTTTATAGGGTTTCAGATCTATAGGATATCCACTAAAATATTCCTACTTCAAAAGGCAATAAAGTAAGTGGTATTATCATTCTTCAAAAAGTTATAATGGTAGTGTAGGCATTCATAGTATGATTTAGTTCATTTGCTACTGTTTCTATTCTATCACCATATTAACACTTTCCTACACAATTCTATATTCAGCTGGGTTTCAGTTGAGCACAAAGTCATCCTTGTACTACCACCGATAGCTGGCACCAGCTCTTTGATACTGTTATCATTCTGCTGTAGAAAGTACCCGTGAACTGGAAAAAGTCCACAATCGAATAGCTAGTCATTCAACACTATCAAATTTTAGGTGACTCTTTGAAAAAATAGTATCTCTTGTTGCAAGAAATGCTCCATCTGTGATTTCAAGTCTCTCACTTGAGTGAATTGGATGGAAGTGGTAAATTTCAGCCAAAGTGGCCAAAGAAATCCTGTTCCTGTGATAATGACGCCATCAGCCTCTGCACCTCTGTCTTCCCTTCTGCCACATGTTGTCTGTTCTCCGTGACTTTGGTAAGAGCTTCCTTGTGTATGTGGATGATGTCCAGGATGTTTGTCTTGTGTCCCTGAGACAGCACTAACAGGTCCATGGCTGGGTCCAGGTCCTTCCTGGACTGACTGGCAAGGAAGTTACTGATGTTCTTGAAGGCATCTCTGGTGAAGTGGATGGCCTAGTCAAGTTCCAAGGCCTGGCTGAGGCTGAAGAAAAACTGGCCACCTTCTGATGCTCTTTCTAAAAGCCTGTCACTGTCATCTGCTTGCTTGTCAACTCATTGGCTGTGAGGTTGAACTGAGTGGCGTGTGTCCATCTTCTTGGGGAACCATTTGAAGCCATCAATCTTGCTCTCCCACCCCTAAAGGTTGATGGTCACCACCTGGGGGTGTGCTGAGGGTCAGAAAGAAGCCAGCGCTCACTATCTCATCCTTCTCAGCCTTCCTCTTGCACTCTCTCCAGGCTGTCTCTTCAGTGGTGGTGGGATATATCAGAAAGTGATGGAAGATGTGGCACTGTGCCCACACCCAGAAGCTGGCCATGTGGTTGGCTCATCCACCAGAATGGATGCTCTGGGTGCTCTTTGAGCCAGCTTGGCCTCGCCTAGCATGCACAGGCTCCAGGTACCGACATGTTGCTCTGAGTGAGCTTGTACTGCTTTGGACCAAATTCTGTCAGGCCAGGGCCACAAAAGGCCGAGTCCCACGGGTGGTAATCCTGGCTGCTTTCTGCACTTCCACATAAAGACCTCCTGAAGATGGCCTGTGGTCTACCTCTTTGCAACCAAGAAGCCCGCAGTGCCATATGAATCCTCAGGCATGGACTGGAGCCCCTGAGGAAGCACACACCCTGCTCCTGAGCCTGCTGCTCATTTTCTCTGTGTGGCTCCATTTGTGTCACAGTTGTTGCACAGACTTGTGCATGCTGGGCAAGGCCAAGCTGGCTCAAAAAGCAACCAGCCACCTCTGCAAGGTTGTGCCAGGAGCCGGTGGACCGGCCACCAACCTCACTCACTGCTGGTCAGGTTACATCAGTTATTCTACCCTAGAGGTAGGGCCACAGTGCCATATGCTTTTCCTCAGGCCTCTGCTCTATCAGTCATCAGACGGCAACCACTCAGGCTGTGGGAACCTGGCCATCCCTCCTTCCTTGAGTAGCTGAGGTTGCTGGCTTGTCCGCCTACTACAGGCACAGCCTTGCAGATGTGGCCAGTTGCTCTGAGCCAGCTTGGCCTTGCCTGGCATGCATAGGCCCCAGGTACTGACACTCTGCTCCGAGTCAGCTTGTCCTGCCTTGGGTCAAATTCTAAGTCTGGCCAGGTCCACAGAAGGCCCAGTCCCCTGGGTGCTAATCTTGGCTGCTTTCTGCACTTGAACATAAAGTCCTCCTCAAGACAGCCTGTGTTCTGCCTCTTGAAGACCAAGAAGCCTACAGTGCCATACGAGCCCTGAGGCATGGACTGGAGCCACAAAGGCAGTGCACGCCCCATTCCTGAGTCTGCTGATCATTTCCTCTATATGGCTCCATTTGTAGCACACTTGTTGCAGTGAGGCTTGTGCATGCCAGGCAAGGCCAAGCTGGCTCAAAGAGCAAGCAGCCACCTCTGCAAGGATGTGCCAGGAGCAGATGGACCAGCCGCCAATCTCACTCACTGCCAGACGTGGTACATCAGTTTTTCTACCCTAAAGGTGGGGCCAAGAGGCAGACCACAGGCCATCTTGAGGAGGACTTTATGTTCAAGTGCAGAAAGCAGGCAGGATTACCACCCTGGGTACTCGCCCTTCTGTGGCCTGCAGTGCCATATGAGCCATGAGGCATGGACTAGTGCCATCTGCTTTATACAAAAATTAACTTAAGATTGATTAAAGAGTTAAATATGCCACCTGCTTTTCCTCAGGCCTCTGCTCCATCAGGCATCAGGTGGCAGCTACTCATGCTGTTGGAACCTCGCCATCCGGGCTTCCTTGAGTGGGTGAGGTTGCTGGCTTGTCTGCCTGCTACAGGCACAGCCTTGCAGAGGTGGCTGGTTGCTCTGAGCCAGCTTGGCCTTGCCTGGCATGCATAGGCCCCAGGTACTGACACTCTTCTCTGAGTCAGCTTGTCCTGCCTTGGGCCAAATTCTAAGTCTGGAGAGGACCACAGAAGGCAGAGTCCCCTGGATGGTAATCCTGACTACTTTCTGCACTTGAACATAAAGTCCTCCTCAAGACAGCCTGTGGTCTGCAGCTAGGCAACCAAGAAACCCGCAGTGCCATAGGAACCCTGAGGCATTGACTGGAGCCCCAAAGGCAGGGCACACCCTGCTTCTGAGCCTGCTGCTCGTTTCGTCTATGTGGCTCTGTTTGTTGCACAGTTATTACACTGAGGCTTGTGCATGCTGGGCAAACTCCAAGCCACTTAGAATTTGGTCCAAGGCAGAACAAGTTCACTGGGAGCAGCGTGTCAGTACCTGGGGCCTGTGCATGCCAGGCAAGGCCAAGCTGCCTTAAAGAGCAAACAGCCTCCTCTGCAAGGGTGTGCCAGGAGCCAGTGGACCCACCACCAACCTCACTCACTACTGGTCAGGGTACATCAGTTCTTCTACCCTAGAGGTAGGGCCCAACTGACATCTGCTTTTCCTCAGGCCTCTGCTTGATCAGCCATCAGGCGGTGGCCACTCATGCTGTGGGAACCTGGCCATCCCTGCTTCCTTGTGTAGCTGAGGTTGCTGGCTGCTCCACCTCCTCCAGAAGCACCCTTGCAGTGGTAGCTGGTTGCTCTTTGAGCCAGCTTAGCCTTGCCTAGCATGTACAGGCCCCAGCTACTGACACACTACTCCGAGTGAGCTGGTCCTGCTTTGAGCCAAATTCTAAGTCTGGCCGGGGCCACAGAAGGCCGAGTCCCCTGGGTGGTAAACCTGGCTGCTTTCTGCCCTTGAACATAAAGTCCTCCTCGGCTGGTCTATGATCTACCTCTTGGCAACCAAGAATCCTGCAGTCCCATACAAGCCCTGAGGCATGGACTGGAGCCCCAAAGGCAGTGCACACCCTGCTTCTGAGCTTGCTGCTCATTTCCTCTGTGTGGCTCCATTTTTAGCACAGTTGTTGCATTGAGGCTTGTGTATGCCGGGCAAGGCCAAGCTGGCTCAAAAAGCAACCAGCCGCGTTTGCAAGGGTGTGCCTGAAGTGGTTGGACTAGCCATCAACGTTGCCCACTCAAGGAAGCAGGGAATGCATGTTTGTACCATGCATTTCACTACAGGTCATTTCCCCTGAGTTTGGTGGCCTAGGTTTTCTTCTAGATTTTTTGTGGTTTTAGGTCTTACTTCTAACTCTTTCATCCATCTTACTTAATTTTTGTTTAAGGTTTATGGGTGTGGCCCAGTTTCAGTTTTCTGCATTTGGCTAGCCAGTTTTCCCAACACCATTTATTAAATAGGGTATCCTTTCCCATTGCTTGTTTTTGTCAGGTTTGTCAAAGATCAGATGCTTTTAGATGTGTGGTGTCATTTCTGAGGCCTCTGTTCTGTTCCATTGGTCTATAGATCTGATTTGGTACCAGCCCCATGCTGTTTTGGTTACTGTAGCCTTGTAGAATAATTTGAAGTCAGGTACTGTGATGCCTCTAGCTTTGCTGTTTTTGCTTAGGATTTTCTTGGCTATATGGGCTCTTTTTTGGTTCCATATGAAATTTAAAGTAGTTTTTCTAATTCTGTGAAGAAAGTAATGGTAGCTTGATGGGGACAGCAATGAGTCTATAAATTACTTTGGGTGGTATAGCACTCAGGCACAGAAATGTCCTTGTGTTAGGCAATACCATTCAAGACATAGCCATGGGCAGAGTCTTCATCACTAGAACACCAAAAGCAATGGCTACAAAAACCAAAATTTACAAATGGGATCTAACTAAACTTAAGAGTATCTGCAGTGCAAAAGAAACTATTATCAGCGTGAACAGGCAACCCACAGAATGGGAGAACATTGTTGCAATCTATCCATCTGACAAAGGGCTAATATGCAGAATCTACAAAGAACAAATTTACAAGAAAAAAAAAACCATCAAAAAGGGAGCAAAGGGTATGAACAGACACTTACCAAAGAAGACATTTATACAGCCAACGAACATGTGAAGCAAAGCACATCATCACTGGTCATTAGAGAAATGGAAATCAAAACCACAATGAGATACAATCTCACACCACTTAGAATGGTCATCGTTAAAAAATCAGGAAAGAACAGATGCTAGAGAGGATGTGGAGAAATAGGAAAGCTTTTACACAGTTGGTGGGAATATAAATTACTTCAACCGTTGTGGAAGACAGTGTGACAATTCCTCAAGGATCTACAACCAGAAATATCATTTGACCCAGCAATCCCATTACTGGGTATATACCCCCAAAATTATAAATCATTCTAATATAAAGACACATGCACCTGTCTGTTTATTGCGGCACTGTTCACAACAGCAAAGACTTGGAACCAACCCAAATGCCCACCAATGATAGACTGGATAAAGAAAATGTGGCATATATACACCACAAAATACTATGCAGCCATAAAAAGGGATGAATTCACGTCATTTGCTGGGACATGAATGAAGCTGGAAACCATCATTTTCAGCTAACTAACAGAAGAACAGAAAACCAAACACCACATGTTCTCACTCATAACTGGGAGTTGAACAATGGGAACACATGGACACAGGAAGGGGAACATCACACACCAGGGCCTGTCAGGGTGGGGGGCTAGGAGAGGGATGGCATTAGGAGAAATAACTAATGTAGATCATGGGTTGATGGATGCAGCAAGCCACCATGGCATGTGTATACCTATGTAACAAACCTGCATGTTCTGCACATGTACCCCAGAACTTAAAGTATAATTAAAAAAAAAGAAATTTGCTTTTAATTAAGCTTTTAATCATAGAACTTGTGAAGAAAATCCTTTTGAATCTTTTATTACCACATCATAGCTGGGACAAACTGCTGACGCTTTAAAAGTAACACAAATATCAAACAGAAAGAACTAGACTTAGGAACCAAACTCAGGTTTCTGTAGTGAACAGGGCAGAATCTTCACATTGGGTCATCACCACTACTCCTTCAGTTTAGCCTTGGCTAGCAAAAGGGTGGCCTTGTTATGTAGATGAGACCACTTATGTAAAAAAAAAAAGTTTTAAAAAATAATTTCTGCTAACTGGAATGTTTTTTGTTGTTGTTTATTTGTTTGTTTGTTTGTTTGCAGCCATAGGAGTTTTAGCCAATTCAGAGGCCTTGCTGCCCACAATTTGGAAAATTCCTTTGGATTTGACCAAGTCAGGAAGAGACGGGAGAAAAGTGAAACAACAACAATAAAGCCCCAAGCATAAACAAACAAAAAGAGTTAAGCAAAACAACAAATGCACAATTCATATGATTACTGAGTGTTCTAATGGTAAGGAGAAACTAAAAGCAGAAATTAAAAGCAGCTGGTGAGTAATCTTAAATTTTAATCATTAAGGAAAAATTTTAAGACAAAACTCTAATTCAGCTACTTACCTGGAAACAAGGCTCAGGCTGGTGATCGTTCTCTGCCATCTTAGAAGCTGGAAACAACTTACACTCACCTTCCCTGTCAGAAGCAAGCTGAAACTCAGGAAAGGAGGTGCCTGCTCTCCATCACCACAGAAGCAGGAAAACTTGCCTTCCTTGTTGGAAATGAGTAAAACTTCAGAAAAGGAGTTGTACAGCAAAATCAAACTTAGATCTCAACCAGATTTTGGGAGATCAGGGACTCTTTGCAGGGGAGAAGCTCCACAACCTCAGCAAATTATCCTGTTGGTTTGGGCAATAAAGATAGCCCAGGTTGGTATCAATCAATAATGAGATTTATCAAAGGTCAGGACCACCTTTGTAATGTCCTTCTCTGTCTTTTTTTATCTTTATTGGTATATACGTTTTGTCGAAACTGGGAGTGTAACACCTGATTTCTTCTGTTTTCCATTGGCTTGAAAGATTTTTCACCATTCCTTCATTTTGAGCCTATGTATGGCACTGAATGTGAGATGGGTTTCTTGGAGACGGCATACTCAAATGGGTCTTGGTTCTTTATCCAGCTTGCCCCCCTGTGTCTTTCAATCGGAGCATTTAGCCCATTTCCATTTAAGGTTAGTAATGGTATGTGTGGATTAGATCCTGTCGTCATGCTGTCAGCTAGTTATTTTGCAGACTTGTGTATGTGGTTGGTTTTTAGCATTACTGGTCTGTGTACTTTGGTGCATTTTTGTAGTGGCTGGTGATGGTCTTTTCTTTCCATATTTAGTGCTTCATTCAGGAGCTCTTGTAAGGTAGATCTGGTGATAATGAATTCTCTCAGCATTTGCTTGTCTGAAAAGGATCTTGTTTCTCCTTCACTTATGATGCTTAATTTTGCTGGACATGAAATTCTGGGTTGAAATTTCTTTTTCTTTTAACCATTTATAATAACACCATGTTATTATATGGTATATCTGTCTCTGCCATACTACATGAAATTTCTTTTCTTTAAGAAGTTGAATATCTTTTCTGGCTTGTAGGGTTTCAGCTGAGAAGTCTGCTAAGTCTGATGGAATTTCCTTTGCAGGTGACGTTGCCTTTCTCCCTGGCTGCCTTTAACATTGTTTCTTTCATTTTGACCTTGGAGAATCTGATGATTATATGTCTTGGGGATGATCTTCTCGTGGCTTATCTTACTGAGGTTCTCTGGATTTCCTGAATTGGAATGTTGGCCTGTCTGGATAGGTTTGGGATATTCTCATGAATGATATTCTGAAGTATGTTTTCCAAGTTGGTTCCATTCTCCTCATCTCTTTCACGTACACTAATCAGTCATAGATTTGGTCGTTTATATAATCTCATATTTCTTGGATGTTTTGTTCATTCATTTTCCTTCTTTTTTCCCCCATTCTTATCTGCCTGTTTTATTTCAGAAACCAGTTTTCAAGCTCTGGGATTCTTTCCTCTGCTTGGTCTATTCTGCTGGGTGCTCTTGAACATGAGATGGAGCTGGTGTGACCTCAGCCCTCCTTAGTCTGCTTGCCTCTCCCAGGACCCCAGCCTGGCCACACCTGCTTACAGGGCAATCTCGGATGCCCACAGCATAGCTTCCATGCTAGTGGACTGTACCTGATCAGTGGAGAGCTGCAGCAAGGTGGCCCCAACAGCCACGCACCAGCCTGCACATTACCTCTCCATACTGCAGCCCTTTATATGGAAACTTCCTACATCACTTTGCTGTGTGTGTTTCCACATGTGGGTTTTGCTGTACTTGCCCTGACAGCACAGGAGAGTGCAGGACAGCACAGGGGACTGCCCAGCAGGGATCAGGTCTCAGAGGAGAACTCTCTCAAAAGTGAACCCCCGGCACAGCATAGCTGCTTTACACAAACATGGCCAGGCTTCTGTTTTAAACAAGTCCCCTTTTTGAAGAGGGGAACTCTGGGACCTGATCTCTGCTGGGCAATCTTGAACATGAGATGGGGCTGATCTGAACTTAGCATTCCTAAAGTGCTGGGATAAAGTATCTCACAAGGGCACGTGGAGCCTAGAGAGATAGCTGTCCCTGCCCTCTGGGCTCCACATCACCTGACTTGCTGCTCCACCACTCTGCTTGTCTCCTGGGTGCTCCATCCCATAGAGATGTGAGTTAGCAATCACTTAGCGTAATCAGCCCAGGATGGAGGGTCTGTGTTGTGAGGCCAAGCCAGTGTTCCCTCTCTGGTGATGAGCAGTGGGGGGTGTGTGGTACCCGTGGGAGATGGACTGGCTTGTTCATTGGGTCAACCGCAGCTTATTGGAGGTGTCAATATGGCACTTAGGGTCTTTGCTCCCTTGATATTCTGAGGGTAGAAAGGGCAGTTTCACTGCAGAGGCAATGGCAGAGAGAATTTCGTTTGCTCCTGGAAGCTCTGTCCAGGGAATTGCTGAGTTGCTGCTGGCTAGATAGCTCTGATGGTGGACTGGCTGGAGACCCAGGTCAGTAGGACCTGCCCATCAAGTAGACTGTCTGGCCACTTTTCTGTCAGGCTGCTGTGGTATGCTGGGGGTCCCCTCCAGTCCCTAATTGCCTTATATTTTCCAGGGAAGATGATAGCCTGCCCCTTCCTCTGGGAGCTCTGTGCCACTGAGGTACGAACTCGTTGCCAGTATGAACACACCTATAAGATGTGACTGGAGACAAGTTGAGAAGTCTTATCTAGTCAGGAGGAACAAAAACAGGCACTGACTTAAAAAAAAAAAGTCTGGGCACGTTTTTCTAGAGCAGCTGTGCTATGCCGTGTGTTCACTTCCACTCCTGGTTGCCTCAGACACTCTGAAGCCCTAATGCTGAAATGGCTGAGTTGCCCCAACAGCAAAGACAACAGTCTGGTCCTCCCCCTGGGAGCTCTGACTCAGGGAGGCCTGAAACCTCTGTCGGCCAGAGAACAGCAGTGAAGGCAGCTGGAGACCCTGGTTGAAAGGCTTCACCTGCTGATTAGAAATGTGGTCAGGGACTGACTTAAACAAGAGTCTGGCCACGTTTTTGTAGTGTGGCCGTGCTGCGCTGAGGTTCCTCTTCCACCCCTTGTCACCTTGGGCTTTCCAAAGCCCGCAAACCAGAATGGCTAGTCACCCAAACAGCAAAGGTGGTGGCCTGCCCCTCTCTCTGGGAGCTCTGTCCCATGAACACTTCAAATTTCTATTGGCCAAGGAATGCTGGTGGTGGTAGCTGGAGGCCCCATTTGGGAGGTCCTGTACAGTGATGTGCAACAGGGTCAGGGGCCTGCTTACAGAACCATTCTGGCCATGATTTGGTAAAGCAGCTAGCTGTGCTGTGGGATCTCTTCTGCCCCTTGTTGGTTTATACTCTCCAAAGCCCTCATGCTGGAATGACTAAGTTGCCTGAACAGGAAAGATGGCGGCCTGCCCCATCTATTCTCTCAGAGTTCATCTTGTTTGATGGAGCTTAATTTTTAGCCTGTTAATTTTACTGTCTACATTAGACTTGTTCGGAAAGAATCTGCTATATTTTAGGTTAGATATATGAGAATTCATTGTTTTCTGTAAATAAACCTGTTCGTGTCTTGTTCTCTGGAAAGAAATCTCTTTCAACTATCTGACTTTGGTCACAGTCATGTAGAGCAGTAGCCAGTCTATAATGACATAATTGAATTTCCATTTCCAGTGTTTTGTTTTTGTGTCTTACATTGTACAGTTCAGAAATGAGCATTTTATTCCCAATTGTCAAAATGTTAAGCTGTCCACTGTACTGAAATACTGTTTTTGTTAATGCTTCGTCATTCAATTTTTTTTAAGGTGAACACTTTTATCCAACTTTTCTCAAGTCAGAGTACAGGTAAGCCCTGGCTGCCTTGAGCCACTCTCAGGGAGACCAAAACCCTTCATACATTCCAAGTTGGGGTACAAAAAAGTGGGGCCATGAAGGCTAGTCATTCAAAATAAAACAAAATTTGAAAGTATTAAGACAAAGATTTAAAAAATTTTGCATTACGTAATTTACACAAAAGCAATGCTATCGCCTACCATGTGTGAACTCGGGAGAGGACTGGGCCATTCTCCTTAGAGAGAAGTAGGGTGGCTTTTAGGAGGGCAAGGGGCTTCCTGAAACAATGCATCTCACAATATTTGGAATGACTATTGAAAAGAAGAACATTGTACAATCAAAGTCCTTGGCGACATTGTAGAACTAGCGGGTGCTGACCCCTGAGCCACAACCACAGTTCTGGGTTTGGGGTTTGGTAAAACCACCCCAAGGACAGAGTTCTGGGGCCGGGTTTTGGAGGAACCAAGGCGCCTCCCAGGGATGGTGTGTCACTCCTGCTTGCCATGAAATGTGCACACAGGCTGTCCCCCTGCCCATCCCATCCTGCTGGACAGGATGGAGGAAGTGAGGGAACAGGCAGGGTGGACAGCTGGAATTCAGGGAGAGGCAGGTGCATGCTGGGAGGTCAGGACCTGTGAGGGCTGTGGGGGCATCAGGTGGAGTGGGCTCCAGGTGCACCCTCAGTGCACAGGGCAGGTCTCAGGCCAGGCTCCCTGGACCCCGGCTGGGTGATGTGGTCACTCCCTGGGGGACTGCTGTCAGACCCTGGCCACCCTCCCTGGGCAGCACCGTCCCATCCCAGAACTGGACTTTCTGAGTCCTAAAACAGGACAGTGCTGCCCAGGCCTGACAGACTGGGAGGACCTGTGAAGTCCTCCATCCCTAGACCAGCCTCCCAACAGCAGGGACAGTCTCCTACCTTTACCTTCAGGTAAAGGTACTGATACATCTCATTCTAAGGCAACCAAGTCAGAGCTGAGGACCTGTGCCAGGCTGGGAGCCAGTCCTTTCCCTAAATGGGCCTTAAGGAAGCCTCATCCCTGTCCCAGTGCACTGCAAGTTTCAGCCCAGGAGACACATAGGGAAGTGAGGAAGGGGCCTCCCCACTGGCTGACCCTGGAAAAGTGGGACCTGGGAGAAGAGGGAGTGCAGGGCTGGCAGGGGATGCTCCAGGCCCATGGAGAGCTCAGGCTGCACCAAGGGGCTGCCCCTCCTGGGCTGGAGGCTGTGCCCTCTACAGTATCTGAGGAAGTCCAGTCCTGAGATAGGACAGTGCTACCCAGGGTGGGTGGCCAGCACCTGACAACAGTCTCCCAGCAAGTGACCACATCACCCGGCCAAGGTCCAGGGAGCCTGGGCAAAGACCTGCCCAGTGCGCTGAGGGTGCACCTGGAGCCCACACCACCTGACGCCCCCACAACCCTCATAGGGTCTGACCTCCCAGCATGCACCTGCCTCTCCCTGAAACCAAGCTGCCCACCCTGCCTGTTCCCTGGCCTCCTCCATCTTGTGCAGACCATAGACTGTGACTATCTCTCCGACCACTCTGGCCCTTCCTTTACCTTTGTCCTGTCAGAATCTCTGAGCAAGATCTCCCAGGTCCATCGAAACACCTGCTTAGCACAGGTGCTAAACCCTGCAAAACCACAGGTGCAAAACCACAGGTGCACTGCCTTAGTAGAGGTTTTCCATGAGCCTCTGCCTCTGTGGCAGGCTACTCCCTTCCTGCTACACACCACCCTACAGCCAGCCTACTCCTCCCCACCTTACCCACCTGTTTTTACTTCCAACCCCACCCCTCTCCCATCCATGAATAAGTCACCTCTCACCAGGCCCCACCTGCAACATTCGGGATTACAATTACATGTGAGTTTAGGTAGGGACACACAGCTAAACCATATTATTCTGACCCTGATCCCCCAAATATCCTATCCTTCTCACAGAGTAAAATATAATCATGCCTTTTCAAAAGTTGCCAAAATCTTAAGTCATTTCAGCATTAACTCGAATGTAAAAAGTTCCACGTCTCACCTGAGAAAAGGCTACAGTCCCTTTTGCCTATAAGTCCCTGAATTTAAAAGGGAGTTCTTTTCTTTCAAGGTACAATGATGGTACAGGCATTGGGTAAGTTTTCTCAATCCAAAGGGTAGGGGTTTGCCAGGAAAATAACACAAATGGAATTACAGGGCCAATGCAAGTCCAAAACCCAGGAGACCAGTATCCATTAAATCTCACAGCTCCAAAACCGTCACGAGAACTCACCATCATGAGGAAAAGATTAAGGAGATGCTGTTTAACTATTTGTGAGGGATCATCCCCCCACCCCCACTTTTCACTCCTCACCGCCAGCATAATCCACCCATCCTCCCCAATCTCCACCTTCCAACACCCAGTGCCCTCCATGATTAAATCACCTTCCACCTGGTCCCAATTTTAACATTTCTGATTACAATTCCACATGAGTTTCCATAGCGACACACAGCCGAATCTTATTATTCTGTCCCTGCCTCCCCAAATCTCATGTCCTTCTCACTTTGCAAAATACAGTGATGCCTTACTTACAATTCCCCAAGCCACTATGCTTTTTTTTTACAGCCTGCAGAACCATCAGCCGATTAAACCCCTTTTTGTTATGATCATACAGAAAATTAGTACTGTGAAGTGAAGCTATGAAATGCCTTCAATGACTTTTCCCCATCGTCTTGGCTAAGACCTCCAAAGTCTTAACTCATTCCAGCATTTACTTCAATGTCTGAAGCCCAAAGTCTCATCTGAGACAAAGAGGCAGTCCCTTCTGTTCCTGAGCCTCTGAAATACAAAGCAAGTTAACTATTTCCAAGGTATGATTGTCCAGGCATTGAGTAAGAATTCCCACCCTAAAGGAAGATTTTTGCCAGAGAGAACAATGAAACACAAACGGGACTTACAGATCCCAGGAAAATCCAAAACCCAGCAGGCCAGTTACTCAAACTTACAGCTCCAAAGTCATCCTTTTTTAATCCTTGTCCCACATCCAGGGCACAAGGGCATGAGGGCTGGACTCCCAAGGCCTTGGGCAGATCTGCACCTGTGGCTTTGCAGTTTTCAGTCCCCACAGCTGCCCTCATGGGCTGTGCTGGTGTTAAGTGCTTGTAGTTTTTACCCACAGAGTGTACAAAGCTCTTGGTGTGTCTATGAATCTGGGGTCTGCATATGGTGGCCTCCAGTGTGGGGGCTCCAACCCCATATTTTCCTTCTGCACTGCCCTAGTAGAGGTTTCCCAGGAGGCTCTGCTTTTTTGGCAGCCTTCTGTCTGGACACTCAGGCATTTTCATACATCTTCCAAAATCTATATGAAGGCTCTGAAGCCTCTGGGCTAGTGCTCTATGGACTTGCTGGCTTAAGACTGTGTGGAAGCCGTGAAGCCTTATAGCTTGTACCCTCTGAAGCAGTGATGCAATCTGTACCTGTTCATCTTTCAGCCAAGGTCGGAGCAGGAGCTGTGGCTGCTGGGATGCAGGCAGCTGTGTCCTGAGGCTGCACACAGCAGCAGGGCCATGGGGCTGGCCCCGGAAACCATTCTTCTCTCCTAGGCCCCAGGGTCTGTGACACCAAGGGCTGCTGCAACCATCTCTGAAATGCCTCCAAGGCTTTTCCCCCCCATTGTCTTGGCTATTAGCACTGGCCTCCATTTTATGCAAATTTCTGGAGCCTTCATGAATTTTCCCCCTGAAAATCAGCTTTTCTTTTTGACCACTTGGCCAGGCTGCAAATGGTTCTAAACTTTTGAGCTCTGCTTGTCATTTAAATATAAGTTCCAACTTGAGGTCATTTCCTCAGTCACACATAACCTCGGTCACACAAGAACACGGGCTGTTTGATGCAGACAGGATCCCCCTTGTGCTATGCTGCCTAGAAGTTCATTCCTCCAGATATGCACTAAATCATCACCCTCAAGTTCAAATTTTCACAGATCTCGAGGGCAAGGTCGCCCTGCAGCCATGTTCTTTGCTACAGCAAAACAAAAGTAACCTTGGCTCCTGTTCCCAGTAATTTCCTCATTTTCATCTGAGACCTTGTAAGCCTGGCCTTCACTGTCCATCCTTCTGCCAGCCTTTTAATCACAACTATTCAACAAGTGCCTACGATGGTCCAAAATTTCTTTCATCTTCCTGTCTTCTTTCAAGCTCTCCAACCTCTGGCTGTTACCCACTTCTGAACCTGCTTTACATTTTCAGCTATCTTTGTTGCAGCCTGACAATGTAGAAGAAAAAGAAGTCCATTTTCAGGGGGAAACTTCAAGAAGGCTTCAGATATTTGCATTAAAAAGAAGTCCAGTGCTAATAGCCAAGACGATGGGGAAATGTCATTGAAGATATTTCATAGCTCCACTTCACAGTACTTTATTTTCTGTATGATCATAATGAAAAGGGGTTTAATTGGCTCATGGTTCTGCAGGCTGTAAAGAAAGCATAGTGGCTTCTGCTTCTGGGAGGACTCAGGAAGACTCCCAATCATACCAATAGGAAAACAGCAATGAAATATTTCATACGGCAGGAGTAGGAGCAAGGCTGAGAGAGGAAAGAGGTGCCACACTGTTATATAACCAGATCTCATGAGAACTCACTATCACTAGGTCAGCATCAAGAAGATGGTGCTTAACCATTGGTGAAGGATCCACCCCCCAACACAGCTCCACCTCCTAGTGTTCCAGACAGAAGCTTGCTGCAGAGGCAGAGGCTCTTGGGAATCCTGTACTATGGCAGTGCAGAAGGAAAATAAGGGCTTTGACTGACTATGCAGGAGGCCACTATCCTCGAGACCCCAGATTCATAGACCTACCAACAGTTCACACCCTCAGTATGGAAAAGTGATAGGCTCTCAACACCTGCCCAGCCCGTGAGAGCAGCCATGGAGGCTAAAGCCTGCAAAGCCACAGGTGCACTGCCCTGGTAGAAGTTTTCCATGAGCCTCGGCCTCGGCAGCAGGCTACTCCCCCTTCCTACTATCCATCACCCTCCCACCGCCCTACAGCCAGCCTATTCTTCCCCACCCTACCCACCCCTTTTTTCTTCCACCCCTACCCCTCCCATCCATGATTAAATAATCTCCCACCAGGCCCCATCTCCAAAATTTGGGATTACAGTTCCACATGAGTTTTTCCAGGGGCACACAGCCAAATCATATTATGCTGACCTTGACCCCCCAAATATCATATCCTTTTCACAGAATGAAATACAATCATGCCTTTTCAAAGGTTTCCAAAAGGCTTAACTCCTTCCTGCATTAACTCAAATGTAAAAAGTTCCAAGTCTCATCTGAGACAAGGCTACAGTCTCTTCTGCCTATGAGTCCCTGAAGTTAAAAGGGTGTTTGTTTCTTTCAAGGTACAATGATGGTACAGGTACTGGGTAAACTTTCTCAATCCAAAGGGAAGAAATTTCCAAGAAAAATAACACAAATGGGACCACAGGCCCAATGGACATCCAAAATCCAGTATGTCAGTTTTCATTCAATCTCACAGCTCCAAAATCATGAAGAGAACTCACTATCAGAAGGACAGCATTAAGGAGATGATGTTTAACCATTTGTGAAGGATTCACCCCCACCCCTGCCTTTCACCCCCAACCCCACCACAATCTCCTCCAACCCTCCCCACCCCCGATTCCCTCCAACCCTCTCCACCCCAGAATCCCCCCCACCCTCCCGGTGCCCCCAACCATCCAACCTCCACTCTCCACCATGATTAAATCACCTTCCATCAGCCCCCACCTTTAACATTTTGCATTAACATTCCACATGAGCTTTTGTAGAGACAGAGAGCCAAAACCTATTATTCTGTCTCTGGTCCCCCAAACTTCATGTCTTTCTCACATTGCAAAATGTAATGATGCCTTCCCTAGAGTCTCTCAAATCTTAACTCATTCCAGCATTTACTCAAATGCACAAAGCCCAGAGTCTTATCTGAGACAAGTCTACAGTCCCTCCTGCCCATGAGCCAGTGAATTATAAAGCAAGTTTACTACTTCCAAGGTACAATGATTGTACTGGCAGTGGGTGACTCATAGGATACATAAGTGTCCAAAACCCAGCAGGACAGTCACTTAATGCTACAGCTCCAAAATCACCATTTTTGAATCCTTGTCCCATATCCATGGCACAGGGCTGTGAGGGCTGAGCTCCCAAGGCCTTGGGCAGATCTGCACCTGTGGCTTTGCAGCGTTCAGCCTCCGCGGCTGTCTCTCATGGACAGGGCTGTTGTTGAGTGCCCATAGCTTTTCCACACTGAGGGTGCAAGCTGTTTATGGGTCTATGAATCTGGGGTTTAGAGAATGACGCCTCCCTGTGTGGGGGCTTCAACCCTATAGGTCCCTTCTTTGCTCCTCTAGTAGAGGTTCCCCATGAAGCTCTGACTCTTGGAAAAGCTTCTTCCTGAACATCCAGGATTTTCTGTGCATCTTCTGGAGTCTAGACGGGAGTTCCCAAGCCTCTAATCTCTTTCTCTGTGCACCTACTGGCTTAACACTATATGGAAACCATCAAGACTTTGAGCCACCTCTGAAGCAATGACCCAAGTTTACCTGTGCATCTTTCAGCCATGGCTGGTGCTGGAGCTGCACGGATGCCGGCAGCAGTGTCCTGCGGTTGAGCACAGCAGCAGAGCCATGGGACTGGCCTAGGAAACCATTCTTTTCTCCTAGGCCCCAGGGCCTGTGACAGCAAAGGCTGCTGCAGACATCTCTAAAATGCTTTCAAGGCCGGTTTCCCACTGTCTTGGCTTTTTGCACTGGGTTTCCTTTTATACAAATACCCTAAGCCTTCTTGAATTTTCCCCCGCAAAATCGGCTTTTCTTTTTGACCACTTAGCCAGGCTCCAAATTTTCCAAACTTTAGATCTCCACTTGAAGTTCCAACTTGAAGTCACTTCTTAGGTCACCCATAAGAACACAAGCTGTTTAATGTAGGCAGGACACCTCTTGTGCTATGCTGCCTAGATGTTCATTTCACCAGATACATCCTAAATCATCACCCCCAAGTTCATAGTTTCACAGATCTCCAGGGCAGGGTCCCCATGCAGCCAGCTTCTTTGCTAAGGCCAATCAAATGTAATCTTGTCTCTTGTTCATAGGAAATTCCTCATTTTCATCTGAGAACTTTTAGGTCTGGACTTCAGTGTTTACACTTTTGTCAGCCTTCCTATCACAAGTATTTAACAATTCTCTATAGTGGTCCAATATTTTCCTCATCTTGCTGTCTTCTAAGCTTTCCCAACTCTTCTGACCTCTGTCTTTTACCCACTTCTGAACCTGGTTCTACATTGTCAGCTATCTTTATCACAGCCTGGCAATGTGGTAAAACAGAAAAGTCCATTTTCAGGAGGAAAGTTCATGAAGGATTCAGATATTTGCATGAAAAGAAGCTGAGTGCTGGTTGCCAAGACAAAGGGGAAAGGGCCTTGAAGGCATTTCATGGCTCCACTTCATAGTACTAATTTTCTGCATGATCATAAAGAAAAGAGGTTTAATTGGCTCACGGTCCAGCAGGCTGTAAAAGAAGCACAGTGGCTTCTGCTTCTGGGAGGATCAGATCAGGAAGCCTTCCAATCATACCAGAAGGCCAAGGGGCAATGAGATGTTTCAAATGGCAGGGGTAGAAGAAATACTGAGAGAGGAAAGAGGTGCCACCCCCTGTTATATAACCAGATCTCATAAGAACACACTATCATGAAGACAGCATCAAGAAGATGTTGCCTAACCATCGGTGAAGGATCTGCCTCCCACCCCCAACTCCCACTGTTTCCAGGCAGAAGCCTGCTGCAGATGAAGCGTTCTTGGGAAACCTCTACTAGGGCAGTGCAGAAGGAAAATATGGACTTGGAGCCCCCATGCAGGGGGCCACCACCCTCCAGACCCCAGATACATAGACCCACCAACAGCTTGCACCCTCCGTGTGGAAAAGCTACAGGCACTCAACACTAGTCCAGTCCATGAGAGCAGCCATTGGGGCTCAAACCTGCAAAGCCACAGGTGCGCTTCCCTAGTAGGGATTTTCCATGAGACTCTGCCTCTGCAGCAGGCTACTACCCCTTCCTACTACCCACCACCCTCCCACCACCGTACAGCCAGTCTACTCCCTCCCACCCTATCCACCCCTTTTTCCCTTCCACCCTACCCACCCCTTTTTCCCTTCCACATACACCCCCACCCATCCATGATTAAATCACTCCCTCCCACTCCCTGTCATAATCTAATCCCTCCAAACCCTTCCAATCTTTGTTTGCTACCCACTACTGAGTCTGCTTCTACTTTTTCAGAAATCTGTATAGCAGGTTGGCTATGATGCAATAACAAAAATCCCATTTAAGGGGAAACATTCAGGAAGATTTCAGAAATTTGTATATAAAGAAGCCCTGTGCTAATAGCCAAAACAAAGGGAAAAAGGCCTTGAAGGCATTTCACAGCTCCTCTCTGCAGTTCTACTTTTCTGTATTATTGTAAATAAAAGAGGTGTAATTGACTCATGGTTCTGCAAGCTGTGAAGGAAGTATAGTGTCTTCTGTTTCTGGGAGGAATCAGGAAGCCTCCTCATTATATCAGAAAGCCAAGGGACAATGAGATGTCTCCTAAAGCAGGAGCAGGAGGATGAGATCTGTTAAACAACCAGATCTCATGGGAACTCACTCATTGTCAGGAGGATAGCATCAAGGTGATGGTTCTTTATCATTCGTGAAGTATCTACCTGCACCATTTTATGACTAAATCTTTTTCCACCTAGACCTTGCCTGTAACATTACAAAATATAATTCCACATGAGTTTTGGTAGGGACATAGACAAAAACCATATTATTCTGTCCTTGACCCGATGAATCTCATGTCCTTCTCACATTGCAAAATACAAACATGTCTTGCCAGCAGTCTCCCAAAGTCTTAACTTATTTCAGGATTAACTCAAAGTTATAAAGTCTAAAGTCTCATCTGGGTCAAGGCTACAGTCTCTTTTGCCTATGAGTCTCTGAAATAAAAAGCAGGCATTGTGTAAGCTTTCCATATCCAAAAGGAAGACATTTTCCAGAAAGCTTCTTATTTCTCTCTGAGACCTCCTCAGCCTGGCCTTCACTGTCCATGTTTCTGTCAGGATTTTTGTCACAACCATTGAACCAGACTCTAAGATGGTCCAAAAGTTTTCTCATCTGTCTTCTTTTGAGCCCTCCAAACTCTTCCAACCTCCGTCCATTACCTGGTTCCAAAGCTGCTTCCACATTTCCAAGTATCTTTAAAGCAACGCTCCAGTCCTCATTTGCCATTTTCTGTATGATTTATTTTGAAAAAGAGGTTTAATTGGCTCATGGTTCTAAGCACAGTGCTTCTGCTTCTAGGCCTCAGAAATCTTTCAATAATCATGGAAGGCAAAGAAAGAATCAATTGTCTCACATGGCAAGGGGAAAACACGGAGAGTGGGGAGGTGATATAGAGATTTCAGTGACTACATCTCATGAGAAGTCACTCATTATTGTGAGGATGGTACAAGGGGTGGGTGCTGAACCATTCATGAGAAATTTGCCTTCATAATTCAATCACCTTATACCAGGATCCACCTTCCACATTAGGAAATATAATTCAACATGAGATTCGGTGGGGACACATATTCAAATTGCATCATCAATCTTTGAATATAAAGACATCTACAGCAGGCTTTATCCAGCCAACTTCTTTGAGACTCTTTATAGAGTTTGAAGTCTAGAGCATATACACTAAAATATTCATACTTCAAAAAGCAATAAAGTGGTATTATCATTTTTCCAAAAGTTACAGCAGTAGTTTAGGCATTCATAGTATGATTTAGTTCACGATTGCTACTGTTTCTATTCTATCACCATATTAACTGTTTCCTATACAATTCTGTATTCAGCTGGATTTCAGTTGAGCACAAAACCATCCTTGTACTAGCTCTTTGCTAGTGTTATTATTCTGCTGTAGAAAGTATCCTTGAACTGGAAACCGTCCACGATCGAGTATCGAGGCATTCAACACTATCAATTCCTGGGTGACTTTTTGAAAAAGTAGTATCTCTTGTTGCAAGAAATGCTGCATCTGTGAGTCCATATCTCTCACTGGAATTGGATGGAAGTGGTGAATTTCAGCCAAAGTGGCCAAAGAAATCCTGTTCCTGTGATTCTGACGTCATCAGCCTCTGCACCTCTGTCTTCCCTTCTGCCACATGTTGCCTGCTCTCCATGACTTTGGTAAGAGCTTCCTTGTGTATGTGGATGATGTCCAGGATGTTGGTCTGGTGTCCCTGAGACAGCACTAACAGGTCTATGGCTGGGTCCAGGTCCTTCCTGGACTGACTGGCAAAGAGCTCACTGACAGAGTGGGAGGCATCTATACTGAAGTGGATGGCCTGGTCCAGCTCCAAGGCCTGGCTGAGGCTGAAGAAGAACTGTCAGGCTTCTGATGCTCTTTCTCAAATCCTGCCACCACTCATTGGCTGTGAAGTTGAGCTGAGTGCCCTGTTGTCCATCTTCTTGGTGAAGCACTTGAAGCTGTCAATCTTGCTCTTCCACTCCTAAAATTGAGTGTCACACTGGGGGTGGGCTCAGGGCCAGGAAGAATCTGGCACTCACCATCTCATCCTTCTCAGCCTTCCTCTTGCCCTGTCTCCAGGCTATCTCTTCAGTGCTGGTGGGGCACATCAGGAAGTGACAAAAAATGTGGCACTGCACCTGCATCCAGAAGCTGGCTGTGTGGTTCATCTACAAGATTGGGCCCTTTCTACACATGAACATAGATCCACTTCACCATAGATGCCTTCCTCACTGTCAGTGAGCTCTTTGCCCATCAACCCAGGCAGGATCTGGACCCAGTCATGGACCTGTTAGTGCTGTCTCAGGAACACCAGGCCAACATTCTGGACATCATCCACATACACAAGGAAGCTCTTACCAGAGTCCTCCTCAAGATGGCCTGTGGTCTGCCTCTTGGCACCCGAGAAGCCCACAGTGCTGTAGAAGCCCCGATGCTTGGACTGGAGACCCAAAGGCGGCACACACCCCAGTTCTGAGCCTGCTGCTCATTTCCTCTATGTGGCTCCATTTGCAGCACATTTGTTGCACTGAGGCCTGTGCATGCCAGGCAAAGCCAAGCTGGCTCAAAGAGCAACCACCCACCTCTGCAAGGGTGTGCCAGGAGCCAGTGGACCAGCCACCAACGTCACTCCCTGCCAGTCAGGGCAAATCAGTTTTTCTGCCCTGGAGGTGGAGCCCCAGTGCCATCTGCTTTTCCTCAGTCCTCCACTCCATCAGCTGTCAGGTGGTGGTCACTCAGACTGTGGGAAACTGGCCATCCCTGTTTCCTTGAGTGGGTGAGGTTGGTGACTGCTCCACCTGCTCCTGGCACACCCTTGCAGAGGTGGCTGGTTGCTCTTTGAGCCAGCTTGGCCTTGCCTGGCATGCACAGGCCCCAGGTACTGAGAAGCTGCTCCGAGTAAGTTTGTCTTGGGCCAAATTCTAAGTCTGGCCAGGGCCACAGAAGGCCGAGTCCCCTGGGTGGTAATCCTGGCTGCTGCAGGGGGGCCCATGGTGCCCCTCCCCTCCCAAGGCTCAGGATGAGGTCCGACTGGGACAGGATGCTTTAGGTATGGGACTTGTGCCCCAGGAGGGGACCTCTGTCACACACGTTGGGTGAGAATATGTATGGCATGCTGTTGGCTGCCAGGGCTGTTGGGATGCACGTTCACCCTTCCCTTCAGGGACCTCAAAGTGACCAGCTTCCCCTTTATGAATGACTTCCCAAGGCCCAGGAGCCATTTGGGGCTGCAGAGCAGCTGGCTGCAAGCTGCCCTGGCTTCTTCCATGTTGTGCTGGTCACTACCTACCAAGGGGGGTCAGATGCAGGCACAATGTAGGACGATTGTCTCTGGACGTGTGTCTTGGTTATCATGGAGCTAGACTGGGCCTGGTGACAGGGCCCTGATGGGGTTGTCCTGTGTGGTCACGGAGGTGATCAGAAAAGATGCAGAATGGAATTGCTGCGAGGATGAATGAGATGACTGTCAGCACATAACAGGCAGCTGGTGAGTGTTCAGGGATTACCCTCGGTAGCTGCCCAGAGGCCAAAACCATCCACCTGATAGTGACTTTTCCCAAGCCAGGAGGAAGAGAAAAGAGCAGGTCCCACTCACCTGAATCTGATCAGTGAGCTGTGTTGAGATGTGCCTCTCATCTAGAAAATGGTCCTTCACGCAGAGCTACTCACAGACACTGCTGTGTGTCTCTAACTGCTCCACAACACAGAGGCGATGGGGACTCAGCAACAGTGACATTGTGGGGTGACACAACCCACCACCATGGGAGTCTGCTTGGGTCAACAGGGCCCAGAGTCAGAGTCCTCTATCCCCTGAACTGACATGTGTGTATGCAATGTATTTGTGTATGCATGTGTGCCTGTGTGTGTGTGTGTGTGTGTGTATGTGTGTGTTTGTCTTGCTTCTCTGGACAGGCCTAGCTTCTCCACTCATGGGTGCACCCAGGTCCTCATCACTGTCACCTTAGAGCATTAGAGACTCTATAGGTGCTCCCCAATCTCTACCCTCCCCACCCATGGTGGTCCTGGGGATGCAGACAGAGGAGGGGCACTGCATAATGCTGAGAGGGCTGGCACCCTCTCTAGGTGGAACACAGGTCATTTGTAAAGTTGTAGGTCTGCCAAGCAGTATTGGATTCAACACATCTTCTCACCTTCTCTTTCCAGCCACCCTCCAGGGTGCCCCAACTCACTTTCCCTGCAGATGGAGGCAAGGAGGCTCCACAGACAACCCCCCTGCCTGAGGTCACATAGTGGCCAGCAGGCCAGGTACTGACCAACTGCCCCTGACCAGGTTCCCAGTGATGAGTGATGAGGCCCCTAATGACCACTCCTCCATTGACCAGGTCCCACTGATCAAGTCCCCACTGACCATGTCTTCCTAACCAGGCCCACACTTAATAGGCTTCATGGGCCAGACCCCACTGACCAATTTTCCACTGACCTGGTCCCCATTGACAAGACCGGGTTCCCACTGACAAGACCACAATTTACCAGGTTGCTGCTCACCCGACCCCCCACTGAACAATTCTCCATGAACGAGTACCCAGCTGACCGAGCCCCCTCTGACCAGGCCCTCACTGACCAGGCTCCAAGCCACTAAGGCCTCACACTGACCAGGCCCATGATATATCGTGTATGCCCCACCAACCAGTTTTTCATTGTTTATGTTCCAACAGATCAGGCCCCACTAATAAGGCCACCACTGACTAGGTTCCCCCACTGACCAGGCTTCCAATGGCTAGGTCACCAGGTCCCCACTGATGAGGCCTTTACTGAGGAGGCCGCCACTAACCAGGCCCCTGCTGATCATGTCCCAAATGACTAGGTCCTGATGACCAGGTCATCTCTGACCATGGTCCACTGACCAGGCCCCGGAGCAACGGGGCTCAAAGTCTCATTACAATGTCCCCCTCAGCTCATAGACCCTCCCTCCCTGCATGTGTGCCCAGAGGTCAGGCCCTGGGGTTTTTTTTGGGACATGGCCTTTCCTCCAAGACACAGGGAGAGACAGTTGGCCTCAGGCTCCAGGTTCCCAGCTCCACACTCACCCCAAAGGCCCTCTGGGCCCGTCTCAAAGGAGAAAGTGAGGTGGCCTGACACTGCCTGGACACACCATCTACCCTATTCCTGAGTGTCAGAGTGTGAGGAAGGGAGGGACATTTAGCAGATAAGGCACGCTGTGCTGTTGGGTCTCTCAGGGCCCTTCCCACAGAGCCCCGATCTAAAGACACAACACAGAGGCTACCGGAAGACTAATCCAGAACCTCTGAGACAGCCAGGGACCCCATGAGGACTCTCCCCAGACAGCCAGAAGGCCCTTTGCTAGTTTCTTGGCACCTCAGTGGATGTGGCAGTGGTTCTTCTGTTGGGGACCAGTGAGTACACACTGGGGAGGGCTCACCTGTGCTTCCTCAGTGTCTCCACCTCTGCTTCTAAAAAAAATGACTCATTCCAGAGCTGGCGCAGAGAAAATACAAGCTGAGCTTAGAACATCTTCTGCCAGAAAGTAAAAAAGTGCCGACAGAGTAATGGAGACAAATCAAAGAGACATAAAGTCAGCTTGGAATGTCTACTACTGGCCTAATCTTGGGGAATTGGAGCATCAGAATCATGAGCTTTCCTTCTCCCTTATTTATTGGTTTTATTTCTCCATGTAGAACAAAGAAGAGAATAAGAAAATAATCATCTGGTAACCATCATAGTAATAATTGTTCAAACACAAGTCATCCACGAAATGCTAAATCTAGTGGGTTCTGAGGAATAACCAGATATTTACAGAGCCTCAAAGTATCTCCATACCAAATACGGTTGAACTACAGAAAGAAAATTGTAACATTAGCATGGACAAACCTGGCAGGTACTCCTTAAGTCTCCTAAGTAATAAAAACTGTAAAATGCAAATAAGCCTTCGATGACCTTTACTAACCTTTACTAAAGTATCAATGATGACTTGGTTATTTAAACAGCTGACATTTGGGCAATTTGAGTATGTCAAACTCAATAATACTTGTTTTCATTTGCAAGATCCACTTAAAACTTAAGGAGGCCAAAAAACATCATTTAAAATACCCTATAAATTATAATCATACATATGATACAAAAATATCCTACTTCAGTAAATATTGGAATTTTATATATTTTATGAGAAACAATTAAAATGTGTAAATAGCCCAGTAATAAAGTTTTATAATCTTTTAAATCATCATACAATTTTTCCTTAAGACTTTATGGTTAAATATTCTCTTCATTAGATGTGGCTTACCCGTGGATTCCAGAGAAGAAAGTAGATGGGAGCAAGTGTCCAGTACAGCAACAGCTGGAAAGAAAAATAAAGAATTTTGTTCTTTACCTAAAACACTTCAGTTAACTAAGTGTGAGTTTAAAAACTAAAGACTTGAGAACTTTATCAGAGTTAATAAGAATGAGAAATATGTATGTACATTTACAATACAAAATTACTATTTAATAATTTACACATGGCATTAATTCTAATTGTGTTTAAATATCAGAGCTTTTTCAGTCTTCATTCATGTAATCAACAGCCACATGCTAAGGTACTCGAACCAGCACTGGAATTACAAGATGAAGATGGCATGGTCCACCTCTCAACAGTCATAAGCTATAATCTAAAAAACAGACAGGCAGGCAATGTCCATATAGAGTCATAGATACCATGACAGGTATACAGCAGGGCACTACTGGAACACAGAGAAGGGACATCTATCCACTTTTATGTCAATATCATGGGCTTTCTGGTGGAGGAGATAACATAGGTTGATACCTGAAGGACAAGGAAAAGCTTCCCAGATAGAGGAAAGAGGCAAAGGCAAAGAGCCTGAGGTGAGGAAGAGCCCTGCAGAGTTCCACTCCATCCAGTTTGGTGCTAGAGCAAAGGGCAGAGTGCAGTAAGTGGTGAGAAACAAGGCTGAGTAACTTGACAAGAATTACATTGACATGGGTGTTTTTATTTCATGGTGAAAAATTTGGAACTTTTCCTGAGAACAAGTGTAAGCCAATGACACAGTTAATTAGAGGAGATTTAAAATGTCACCTGTTAAGTGAGTGCTTATGAAGGGTTATTGCTCAGCTAAGTATTTCTGAATGAGTCTTAGGTCTGTTGGCCTTCAATCTCTACCAAAACCCTGAGAACTTGATGATGCTTTTGTTTTCTGAGAATCGTTTCAGTGTGCTGGCTGACAGTTCCATGAGGATGGCAAAACTTAAGAAAGTGTAGAACCAGTGAAAAAGAGATGCACAGACTTCTTGGGAACTGTTTAAGCTTTGGAACATGATGAATTTATGGTGCATAAGTACAGTCTTCTCTGTGAAAGTTTTTGTTTTCACATCTTTCATTAGAGGTGTGTAAGAAAAAAAATATTGATGTAGTATCTACTAACCCAAGAATGAAAAGGAATGCCATTTGCTATTTACACTTTATTTCTAAAATAAACCTAAATTTAATTAATAAATTTTGTCAACGTACTTCTCTTTGTTTCTCTAATTATTTATTCTACACAGTCCGGCCCCATCTAAAATAAGTAAAAATAATAATAATGTCTAAATTAAACAAGAAACATTATCATGAAAATCATGTATCACTTACAAAATGTGGCCTTTAGTATTTTTAGTGACTAGACATAACTTGAAGTTTGCTTAAATAGAAAAATAATCACATAAATAAAATAAAATTTCTACTTATTTTAAGTTTAGATAACAGAGGATGTATATGTGTAATGCTGTTTAGAGTAATCTGACAAAAATGCAGTTAATATTGATCTATTGCATATACATGATTTTAGAAAGGTAGTGTTTTATTAGTACAAAGGTTAAACAATGTCCAGGCATGGTGGCTCATACCTGTAATCCCAGCACTTGGGGAGGCCAAAGCAAGCAGATCACAAGGTCAGGAGATCGTGACCATCCTGGCCAACATGGGGAAACCCCATCTCTACTAAAAATACAAAAATTAGCTGGGCGTGGTGATGTGCACCTGTAGTCCCAGCTACTTGGGATACTAAGGCAGGAGAATTGCTTGAAGCCAGGAGGTGGAGGTTGCAGTGAGCCAAGACTGCATCACTGCACTCCAGCCTGGTGACAGAGTGAGACCCTGTCTCCCAAAAAAAAAAAAAAAAAAGATTAAGTAATTAAAGCCATCTTTTGCAATGAATGCATTGCTTTGAAATTCTTAGAAAACTCTGCCCTTTATAAAAGTTTAATCCATTTTTTACTTCAATAAATTTTATCTTAAAAAGAAATTTCTGTTCTCTACTTATAGTAAACTTTTCTTTTTTTTTCTAGTTTGTATTCTAAATTAACGTGGTACCTCTGTAAGTTTCTTCCAAAGGCATATCGATGGATACCGAGGTTTGCAGGTTGTGAGCATAGGACCCAAGAAGTAGTTTTTCAACCCTGGCCCACTCTGTCCCTCCCTGTTCTTACTTCCCAGTGTCTATTATTCCCACCTTTATGACAATGTGTACCCAATATGTAGTTCCCACATGAGTGAAAACATGAGATATTTGGTTTCTGTTTCTGCGTTGGTTTGCTTAGGAGAGTGGATTCCAGCTGTATTCATGTTGCTGCAAATGACGTGATTTTGTTCTTTTCATGGCTGCATAGTATTCCATGGTATATATGGAATTTTCCAATCTACCTTGGATTTTCAATCTACCTTGGATGTACCTGGATTGACTCCACGTCTTTGCTATTGTGAATAGTGCTGCAATGAACATACATGTGTATACATCTTTTTGTTACAATGATTTATTGTCCTTTCGGTATACCCCTAGTATAGTAATGGGGTTGCTGCATCCAACAGTCATTCTTAGTTCTTAATTTCCAAACTGCTCTCCATAGTAGCTGAATTAATTTACATTGCCACAAACGGTTTGTGTTCCCTTTTCTCCACAGCCTATCCCAACATCCTTTTTTAAGTTTTTATTTATTATTTGTTTTTAACAAAAGTCATTGTGACTGGTGTGAAATGGTATCTCACTGATGTTTTGTTTGGCATTTTTCTGATGATTAGCAATGGTAAGCATTTCTTAATGTTTGTTGGCCACTTACGTGTGTTATTTTGAGAACTGTCTGTTCATGTCCTTTGCCCATTTTTAATGGTCTTATTTATTTTTGGCTTGTTGATTTGTTTAGGTCTCTTATGGATTCTGGATAATAGGCGTTTGCTATATCCATACTTTGTGAATATTTTCTTCCATTCTTTTAGGCTGTCTGTTTAATCCCGTGATAGTTTCTCATGCTGTGCAGAAGCTATTTAGCTAAATTAGATCACACTTGTCAATTTTTGTTATTCTTGCAATTGCTTTTGAGGACTTAGCCATAAATTAATTGACAAATATGATATCCAGAAGAGTATTTCCTAGGTTTTCTTCCAGGATTTTTATAGTCAGAAGATGTACTCTTATGTAAGGAAAGCACAAACCTTTTTTTTGTTTTGTTTTGAGACAGAGTCTCCATCACCAAGGCTATAGTGCAGTGGTATGATCTTGGCTTACTGCAACCTCTGTCTCCTGGGTTCAAGTGATTCTCCTGCCTCAGCCTCCTGAGTATCTGAGATTACACATGCCTGCCAACACACCTTGCTAATTTTTGTATTTTTACTAGAGACAGGGTTCATCATGTTGGCCAGGCTGGTCTCAAACTCCTGACGTCAGGTGATTCACCTGCCTCGGCCTCCCCAAATTTTGGGATTACAAGTGTGAGCCACCATGCCTGGCCAAGCACAAAGCTTTTAACATAAAAATGGAAATGAACATTTTAGTGTTTTGTTTAATTCATAAAATGCAATTATTTTGGATTCTACTAAATAATAAACATCCATATGTGGCAAAGTGTTTGGATGCCAATCATTCATTTGTGATTATGGGTGGGAAGAATTGAGATGGTGCAAATAAACTTTTTAAAAATTTTTTTTTATTTTCAAGATGGAGTCTTGCCCTGTCACCCAGGCTGGAGTGCAGTGGTGCAATCTCAGCTCCTGCAACCTCCGTCTCCCAGGTTCAAGCAATTCTCTGCCTCAGCCTTCCTAGTAGCTGGGATTACAGGTGCCCACCACCACACCAGGCTAATTTTTTTTTTTTTGTACTTTTAGTAGAGATGGGGTTTCACCATCTTGGCCAGGATGGTCTTGAACTCCTGACCTCGTGATACACCTGCCTCAGCCTCCCAAAGTGCTGGGATTACAGGAATGAGCCATCACACCTGGCTGGTGCAAAGAAACTTTAAAAGTGGCATGGGCCGGGTGCGGTGGCTCATGCCTGTAATCCCAGCACTTTGAGAGGCTCAGACAGGCAGATCACAAGGTCAGGAGTTCAAGAAGAGCCTGGCCAATATGGTGAAACCCTGTCTCTACTAAAAATGCAAACATTAGCTGGGTGTAATGGTGGGTGCTTGTAGTCTCAGCTACTCAGGAGGCTGAGGCAGGAGAATCACTTGAACCCGGGAGGTGGAGGTTGCAGTGAGTGGAGATGGCACCAAGACACTCCAGCCTGGATGACAGAGTGAGACACTGCCTCAAAAAAAAGAAAAAAAAAATGTGGTATGAACCACAGCTAAACTACAATCAATTAGAGAGTAAGCCAAAACATCTCAAAGTATATCATCAGTTATCAGGCAATAACATGCAATTTCTAAAACCTAACTTAAATGCAGCTTTTAAAGACATTTCAAACGTGTCAGTTTAGTCACATTTATTGAATAAAGTTAGCAAATGGATATCTCTTGAAAATGAGAGCTCCAGGGAATTAAAAAATGTAAAGTTCCCATTTCCTTTCTGTGTTAACACAGCTAATTATGATCTTTACTTCACATGCAAAAGTCAACAGAACAACTCAGTATTTCACCAAATTATAAACAAGAATTACGCTAGAGAAATGAAACCCTAAAGAGAAACGGTCATATAACTAACCTCAGTCAAGTAGTTCTGGCAGTTATTTGAAGTCTGAGGTTTGAAGTAGGAATTCTTATGGGCATTTGGGGAATATATTTTCTGTTGAGTCCTATACTAGTAAGATTTTCAACACAAGGTGACTCTTGACCTTGCCTTCTAGGAAGAGTGCTGAGAAAATATTTCACCTGCTCTTTCTCCATAAAGAGCTGATACTGATCATTGCTATTTTCTTATTCGATCTGTAAAGATAGCAAAGACAAATGTTTAATATTTCATTTTTCCTTAAATGATTCTTAATGACTTTCAGTTTTTAAAAACTTACCCTGAGAGTAAACCAAATTACCCACTAAATAGTGTTTTCACACAGAAGATGTGTAATAGCATACCTGTTGTAAGGAATTATAATTTTAAAATCGTTCTAAAGAAGCACCATTGTTTCTAAGGTGATTTCTACTGAACAAGCAGTTCAAACAAAGTAGACAGGGAAGAGAAATGACTATCAGTGATGTATGGCTCAACAGGTAAAACTTCCTGCCTTCTAAAATGGCTCTACTTGTAAGATTCTGAAGATTCCATTAGAAATACTTGTATTTAAAGGGTAATAATGTGGGAAAATGAATATGTTGATTTGCTTGATTATAAGAACCACTTCACTAGAAATAATTATATCAAAACATCATGTTATACTCCTTAATGTAGGTTAAGAAAACTAAAATGAACGAAAAAAAATCTAGGAATACTTGTGTTTAGTAAACCAGTTTTAGATTTCACTTTTGTACATTTCACCCATTATCTAGGACCAATTAAACATTTGGCACTGAGGAATAATTCAGAGCAACAACTCCTAGGGGAGAACTAGATTGTCTGGTTGGTGATCAAAAAGAACTAAAGCATCTCTGAAGGCAATTAGTCCCCAACACTGTGACCAAGGCCCTGGAGGTGGGGCATGTTCTTTCTGCCTTCCACACACCGCTTCAGGCTGAACAAGGTGTTATTTTTTAACCTCTTTGTGAATTACACTTCTTTAAATTCCTGTGATAATTATTCCCTATTTCACAAGGGTGCCTTTCTGTAACATCTTGAATATGTTACACAAATAGTCTTTCTTGAGGCACCCTCTGGTGATAATACTAAAGATCACAATCAAAAACAATTGTGCCCAGAGTAACAGTACCACTTTGCATTTAGGTTGTGATCCACTGAAAAGTAAATTAAACACATTAATATTTCTATTTAGGGAAATTCTGACAAGTAATTTTATAACAAGATCACTTCATTAATTATAAAGCTTCAGAAATACTTAGTGAAAAAAACTAACAGATCAGGTTAATTACATGAGACTTTTCAGGAAAAAAAGCCATACAAAAGCAAAAAAAAAATGAGAGGAGAGACAAAAACTATCTTTGACTAACATTTTAAAGGTAAAATTATTTACTCACATTATTTTTCAAAATTACATTGTCAAATTAGCATTCACTTCCTTCTAATCTCCTGAAGCCATCTCACTAAAAATTATGCTTTTGAAACAAATTAATGAGCTTAATTCATTTTCTATGAGTGTATGTTTTGACTTACTTAGTTAATTTTTTTGACATGGAACTATTAGCTTTCAATGCTGCTGCAAAGGCTTCCTTATATTCTTCTAACTCAGTTGTAACCTCTTCATAAGCAGTTTTCATTTTGTAGAATTTACATTCCACATCTTTAAGTGTGAGTTCCTTCTTATTTAGTGAAGCTGTATTATATCCTTGTTTAACTGCTCTAATTGTTTTTTATGTTGTGCTTGTTCCTAAAACAAAGGAAAAGAATACACTTTTAAAACAATTATAACCTAATTATTATGTTTGTTGCCTTTCATTTTGAGTCAGTGATTCAAAGAGTATTTTTGAATATGTTAAAAAAGAGGATGAAGTTTAAAATATTTCAGCAATATCAAAACTAATAACTGAATTCAGAATTAAGTCTGATTTGTAAAAATTTGAAATCATAATTATGCTAGTATTAATGTAATCTGGTCATATAAAAAGTAATAGAATCCATTCATAGTTTTAAAAAGTGATCAATGAACACTGTAGCTTAAGACCAATTCATAATTATCACATAATTTCTAAATCACAATTTTTTCCTATGCCAACTGGTCTTAATCATCAAATGACTCCATAATGAGAATCATTACTCTGAAAGATTGATTTTGTTATAATAATAATGGAAATTTAAATATTTAAAAGAAAAAACAGATACCATTTTTTTTCTAGAACTCTACAAAGCAGATTGCTACAAGAGAGGCAGAGGAAACACTATATATATATATATATATATATATATATATATATATATATATATATATATATAATATATATCTCCAAAATATAATTTGCAGTGAAATAAATGAAAGCACATTACAAGTAAACTTATCTGATTTAAACAACTCACCTGTAAATGGATTTCTTCTAATTTTTCTACTGCCTGCATTGCCCTTTCATCTAGCTCTGATTTATATTCTTGTAGTTTACTAAGTTCTACCATACTGTTTTCCATATGTGTCTTAAGATTTAATATTTCTTCTTCCAACATCTTTTTATCCTCCTCAAGTTTTTCACATTCCTGTTGTACTTTTTTCATAGATAATAACTCCTGTTGAAAAACTTGATTCTCTTTAGCCAAATTGACACATTTTGAAGATACAGCTTCCTTCTCCGCCATAAGATCATCAAACTGCATGAATAAAATAGTATAGCTTGATAATTAAGTAGGCTGAGAATAATCGAATACAAAACCAATAGCAAATTTTGAAATGCATTTATTTGCAATAAAATGTTATCTGTAATGCAGCAGATTCTTCAAATGTGAACCCTTAAATTACTCAGAATTTTAAGAACAAAGTTAAAGCTACCATGAGTCATAAAAATATATTCTTTACTATCATCATCTTTGCCACAGAATTTTTGTACTTCATTTTACTTTTATTTTTCTGATAATTCATTTTTGTTCCTCCTTAAATGGCACAAAGTTATCTCCTAGTAAAAAGTGTCTAACCCCCTTCCTTCATTATCATTCCCCACAGTATGTCAAAAAAAGTTTCAGAGATATCATATTGAGTTATTTAGGCCAAAGTCAATAAATGGGTCTAGGAATAAGACTTTGAAAATGATATTACACTCTATATTAGGTATGGTGGCTCATGCCTGTAATCCTAGCACTTTAAAAAGCTGTGGCAGAAAGATCACTTGAGGCCAGGAATTTGAGATCAGCCAGAGCAACATAGTGAGACCCCCATCTCTACAAAAAAAAAATTTTTTTAATTACCCGGGCATGGTGGCTCATGCCTGTAGACCCAGCTAGTTGGGATACTGAGGCAAAAGGATGGCTTGTACCCAGAGTTCAGGGCTGCAGTGAATTATTATCACTGCACTTCTGCCTGGATGACAGACAAAGACCCTATCTCAAAAAACAACACAAAATAATGAAATCTATGATTAAGGATTCTGATGCTATAAGCTTTTCCTTAAACTGCAAATGTTTCATGCTAATTTGAATTGCATTTTAAGAAGTAATGATTCTTGGGGTAAAGACCATAGAATACGGCACCCAGAAATAAATCCACATATTTCCAGCCAACTGATTTTGGACGAACATGCCAAGAACATACGCTGGGGAAAGGACAGCCTCTTCAAATGAATGACACTGGGAAAACTAAATATCCATATGGAGAAGAATGATATTAGCTTCCTATGTAACACCATATAACAACATAAACTCAGAATCGATTGAAGACTGAAATGTAAGGCCCAAAATTATCAAACTACTCTAAGTAAATATAGGGAAAATGCTTGAGGACATTAGTCTGCACAAAGATTTTTATGGGTAAGACATCAGAAGCATAGGCAAACAACAAATCATAGACAAAAGACACTACATTAAGCTAAAGAGCTTCTGTCCAGCACACAACTGAGTGAAGAGAAAACCTGTAGAATAGGAGAAAATATTGTCAAGCTATTCACCTAATAAGGGACTAATATACAAAATATACAAAAAAACTCAAACAACTTCACAGTAAAAAAAATCTGAGTTTAAAATTGGGCAAAATATCTAACTATACTTTTTTTAGAAAAAGAAATACAAATAGCCAATAAGTAAATTTTAAAATGCTCAGTATCACTAATCCTCAGGGAAATACAAATCAAATCTACAATGTGATATAATCTTGCTTCAATTTGAATAAATTGCTGTCATTGAAAAGACAAAAAAAATAACAAATGCTGGTGAGGCTCCAGAGAACAGTAAACTCTTACATGCTGTTGGTGGGAAGGTAAATTAGTGCAGCCACTATAGAGAACAACAGGAGGTTTTCTCAAAAAAACTAATAATGGGACTGCCGAGGGATCCAGCAACCCCACTACCGGGTATTCAGGCAATAGAAAAGAAAACAATAGATCAAAAGGATATCTGTCCTCATATGTTTACTGTAGCACTATCCACAACAGCTTGTGTATGGAATCAACCTACATGTCCATCACCAAATGAATGGACGAAAAACTGTGGCACACAAACACAGTGGAATACTATTCACCGTATAAAGGAATTAAATCCTGTTATTCGTGGCCAAGTGGATCAGTCTGACGGATGTTATGTTAAGTGCAGACACAGAAAGATAAATACTGCACATTCTTACTCATGTAAGGGAGCTAAAGGAAAATTGAAGGCTGGGAAATATGGCTGATGCCTGTAATTTCCTAGCTCTTTGTAAGACCAAGGCAAGAGAATCATTTGAGGCCAAAGTTCCAGAGCTCCCTGGGCAACATAGGGAGATATCTCTACAAAGTCAAAAATCAGACATGTGCAATGGTGCATGCCCATAATGCCAGCTGCTCAGGAGGCTGAGGTGTGAGGATCAGATGGGCCCAAGAGTTTGAAGCTGCAGTGAACTATGATCAAACCACTGTCTCCAGTCTGGGTGACTACAGTTGCCCAGAGCCCAGACTACACTAGCAAGACCCAGTCTCTTAACAAAAAAAAGCTCACAGAAGTAGGGGAGGGGAGGCTGGTTAATGTATACAGAATTACAGTTAGATAAGAGGAGTGAGTTCTGGTGTTCTGTGGCATTGTAGGGTGAATATGGTTAACTATGACTTATTGTATATTTTTAAAAAGCCAGAAAATTTTCAATGTTCACAATTCAACGAAATGAAAAATGGTTGAAGTAGTAAATGTGCTAGTTAGCTTGATCATTACACACTATATACGTGTATAAAAATATCACTCTATAGCCCATAATTATGTATATATGTGTCAATTAAAACAAAAGAGAAGGTACATTCATCCCATTTAAAAAACAGAATATGGGTCAGCCTTACTGACTTCCTTCTAATGAGTTGAATGTAGTGAAAGGGATACCATGTGGCTTCCCTATCTCAGACTGTTTTCCCTTGGAACCCAGCCCCAATTGTGAGAGCCATCAGGCCACAAAGAGAGCCTGAAAGTGCCTGTGTCAGTGTTCATGCTGCCTGTCCCAACCAAGTTTACAGCCGATGGCCAGCATCAACCATCAAAGAAGTGGGTGACCAAAGCTTCAGAGGATTCCATTTCCCCAACTGATCAGCTGTTCCTAAGGAAGCTGAAGAGAGCAGAGACAAGCTGTCCTGGCCAAGTTTTTCCCAAACCACAGGTTCATGAACAAAATAAATGTTTTTCCTTCAAGCCACAAGACTCTGGGTAATTGTTAGGAAAATAAGTTTTAAAAAGAGACAACAGGAAACATAACTTATGCAGCAGAAAAGAGTCTCCTTTAAAGCAGGATCTAATAAATGTTGATATTTATTTAATGATGTCAAACATTATTGAGAAGCAGTAGATAACCAGGAGAGAGACATAAGCTGCTGAGGAGGAATTTTCCTAAAACTCCTTCAATTATGAACTCTGATAACAAGGCAAGGGTGTCTTCTTACAATTTCCCCTCAAGTTAAGAAGTAAGACTGGGAAGCAAGAAGATGTATGATTTGAAAAACAACTAGAAATACTGGGTGACATAGGCAAAATCAGACATTTACCTGATTTCAATTAACTAAAATTCTAAAAGAAGAAGTTTTGAGTATTTATTAATCAACCTAGTATTCAATTTTCATTTTCTTTTCTAAATGAGGAAATAAGGAGAATATTATGGAATGATTTTTATTCTTCACAGAAGTAAAATAAGCATAGTGTGTTTTGAGTGTTAAGACACAAATGCAATTTCTCCTTTACCTTACTCCAAGCTTGTTTGTATGGAGAAGTTAAGATCATCCCATCTCTATGTTATGCCACAATGCTTCTCTGTAGCACACAACTTGGCTCTGAAATTTTGAAAGTCAAAATACTAATCTACTATGTGTCTCTGATAAATTGCCTGAACGTTACCTGATTTTGAAGTGCTGCACTCCTAAGACTTTTTCTTGGAATGAGTTAAACGTTTTATTCCAAGAATCCTCTACTGAGCTAGAAAGCAGAGCTGTGCATCTCTGTTTCAGTAAAAGGAGGTCAATACAGGGAACTGTGGTTTCTGAGAATGCAAGATCTGCACTAAGAAAAGGATTAGCCACAGTGCTACCCAAGAGAACCAGCTACCAGGAGGAAAGAGGGTCTGTAAACTGCAAGATGATGACTTCACTTGATTTCCACTGAGGAAAGCTGGTGGCTCAGACTTAAACTTCTCCTTCCTAGATGGTAAACATCTATGGAAGGTTCTATGAATTATAATGAGTTAGTAAAACATAATGCACTGAATATTAGACTATGTCAGCAGATCCTGTAACCAAAACTTACTGAAAATATAACTATAGTGGGAGGCAATGGAAAAGAGACTAAAGGCTTGAATGGAGAAAAAAAGAAATTAAGTGTGTCTTGTAAGCCTGGTGTCTGATCATGTCTTAGAGGAAGTAAGGTATAAGCTGACCAGAGACTCCTTTGTGACACAAAAGGTGAAGTTACAGACATTCCACTAAATTTAATTTTTATTATGACATAAGACAACTGGTAATATGCAACATGATTGAAAAAAACTTCTCATTCAATTCGATTGGGCCTTGACATAAGAATAGACATAAACAAGCTAAGAATTGACAATCTAAAAATAAGCCTGCACTTTTACAGTCAATTGATTTTATACAAGCTTAACAAAAGAACAAAATGGGAAAAGAATAGTCTTTTCAACAAATGGTGCTGGGACAACTGGGTATCCATAAGCAAAAAATAAATAAAGTTCGACCAAATATCTTATTTAATAATTAACTCAAAATAAAATAGTTAACTGTAAAAGCTAAAACTATAAAACTGTCAGAAGAAAACACTGGCATAAATCTTTGTGACAGCATTTGCCAGTGTTTTCTTAGCTATGACTCCAAAGTAAAAATGGATTCAATAGACTTCAAAATTGAAAACTGCTGTGCCTCAGAAGACAGTATGAAGAAGTGAAAAGGTAAGACGCCAAGTAGAAGAAAGTATTTGAAAAGCGTGTATCTGATAAGTGACTTACATATATAGGAAATATAAATAACTCTTGTAATTAATAAATAACAAGATAAGCCAATTTTAAAAAATGGGCAAAGATTTTGAATAGATATATCTGCAAAGAAGATATAAAGATGGATAAGCACATTAATAGATGCTTAATGTAATTAGTCATTAGGAAAATGTAAATCAAAACCACATGTGGTATCACTTCACACCACAGGATAAAATCTTTGTTCAAGAAAAAAGAGTGTTAGGAAAAATGTAAAGAAATTAAAACCCTTATCTAATGCTGCTGGGAATGTAAAGTGATGCAGCCACTTTGGAAAACAAACTGGCAGCTCCTTAAAGGGTTAAGCATGAAGTTACCATATGACACAGAAATTCCAGTCATAAGTATATACTCCAGAAAAATAAAAACATACACAAGCACAAAAACTCATACATAAATGTTTACAGCAGCATTATTAATAGTAGTCAAAAGGTGGAAAGAACCAGAAAGTCTGTCACCTTTGGGTGGGAGAGAACCCAAAGGTCCATCACCTGGCGAATGGATAAACAAAATGTTTGATGTATCCATACAATGGAATATTACTCAGCAATAAGAAGAAATTAAGTACAGATACCGTATTAGGAGGAGACAGCAAAATGCCTAGGCAGATACGGAAGGGTCCCTGGAGAATCTCCAACCAGCCCCACAAGTGTTTACACCAGATGTTATGTGCAGATAAGGGAACCTGGACTTGTCTTGCCTGGACATGCCCACAGCAGACCGGAGGCCCACATGCAGTGGGGGGATGGGGTGGAGTCACCAGGAATTCACGCCTTATGCAGAGGAGGAGCCTGGCCGCTTCAGCTCATGTGATCCTGGTATTCAATTGTGAGGTGGAAACCTCTTTGCAGGACCCCTCTCTTTGCTGAGAGCTGTCCTTTCACATAATAAATTCTGCCCTCCTCAATGTGTCTGCATGCTTAATTTTTCCTGGTCACGAGAGAAGAACCCAGATGTAGCTGAACTAAGGAGCAAAAACCCGGCATCAATACCTGCTACAGCACAGATGCAGCATGAAAAATTATGCTAAGTGAAATAAGCCAGTCCCAGCAGACCACTTGCTTTTTATTTCAGAGGCTTATAGGCAAATCTATACAAAGAAGGTGGGTGGTTCCCTAGGGCTGAGGGAGGAAGGGAAAACTAGTGAAGATGGCTAAATGCTGTGGGGTTTGTTTTTAGGGTGATGAAAATGTTCTAAAATTAATTGTAATGATGACGGCATAACTCTCTGAAAATACTAAAGTTAATGAATTCTATACTTTAAATGAGTGAATTGCATGGTGTGTTCATTATTTCTCAATAAACCTGTTACCCCCCACCCCAAATTAATTTGGTACTAGAGATCTGGAGATAGGTACTGCTTGGTTTCAAATCACTGGCCAGGGTTCAAGGTCTAAAGGAATCAACAACATGTCCTTTTTATAGAAAAAGAGATTTATATTTTACAAGCTATCCTTTTCATTAGTATCAAGTCTGTAAAATTAAATGAAAAATCTTTCTTTCACTGCTTAAAGCACTGACAGATTTATATAGAGGAATAAGACCTTGTTTTCTTTGGCCCCAATTTCTATCTAAAGGGTCTGGGAAACACACCCTTCAAACTATCAAATCTCATCAGATGGGTTTTATTAACACTTATAATGTGGCTTCCTTTCTAATCTGATTCTGGTGCAGCATCACAGAGAGAAGAAGCTGAAGGAAATCAAAATATTTTACCCTCAAATATATTTTTGATGTATTTTGAAATAGCTGCTGCAGGGCCAAGAGATTGAAATGGCCCTCATTAAGGTAGCCCACCTTCTAGGTCTTCCCAGATCTGGGGAAGATTAACTAAGAGCCTGAGGCATTTAAGTTTGAAAAGATATATTTACCCTCTATTTTCTCAACATATTTTGGCAGAATTTGGATTTTTCCATTATCAATATTTTCCAAAATGCATGATTTTTAATACCAAAACTGATTTAAAATTACCCTACGTTGGAATATAAATTATTCTATTATAAAGATACATGCATTTGCATGTTCACTGCAGCACTATTCACAATAGTAAAGACATGGAATCAACCCAGATGGACATTATCAGTGATAATGGGATAAAGAAAATATGGTATATATACACCATGGAATACTATGGAGCCATAAAAATGAATGAGATCATGCTCTTTGCAGGGATATGGATGAACCCGAAGCTGATATCTTCAGCAAACGAATGCAGGAAGAAAAAACCAAACACTGCATCTTCTCACTTATAAGTGGGAGCTGAACGATAAGAACACATGGACTCGGGGAGGGGAACAACAAACACTGGGGCCTGTTGGGGTCAGGAGGGAGAGCATCAAGATCAATAACTAATGCCCACAGGGCTTAATATCTAGGTGATGGATTGATAGGTGCAGCAAACCATCATGGAACACGTTTACCTATATAAGAAACTTGTTGGCCAGACTAGTCTTGAACTCCTGACCTCATGATCTTCCTGCCTTGGCCTCCCAAAGTGCTGGGATTACAGGTGTGGCCACCATGCCTGGTGGCTATTTCTCTTTTTAAATTCTCTCAGGACTCCTAAAATCTCAAAACTTTGACCTAGATTCCCTAATCTACATTTCCAGCTCTGACCATTTTCTTGAGGTCTCTTCCTTCTAGTACACATATTATAGAAAATATTCTCAACCACATGCTCATACATTGCTAATTGGTGCAGATTACTTTTGTAGATAGTGAATGTTGTCTATTTTATGTTGGTTCTCAATAATGTTACTTTGAGTATACTGTTATTTTCTAATCTCAAAGGGGGACTATCTCACTGTTATGATACTAACCAGTATACTTTGTCCTTTTTTTCTTGCTTTCTTCTTTTTCGGACCAGTATGCTTTGTCCCTTTTTTGTTTTTCTTTTTTTCTTTTTTTTGAGATGGAGTCACACTGTGTCATCAAGGCTGGAGTGCAGTGGCACCATCTCGGCTTACTGCAACTTCCACCTCCTGGGTTCAAGTGATTCTCCTGCCTCGGCCTCCCAAGTAGCTGGGACTACAGGTGTACACAACCACACCTGGCTAATTTTTGTATTTTCAGTAGAGACAGGGTTTCACTATGTTGGTCAGGCTGTTTTTGAACTGCTGACCTCAGGTAATCCACGCACCTCAGCCTCCCAATGTGTTGGGATTACAGACGTGAGCCATGGCACCCAGCCCTCTTTTTCTTTTATGATGAAAACTTTCCCATGAGAATCATATTATCAATTGTTTGCCTTTGTTTTCTTTTAAAGAAATTCCTTTTCCATAGAGATATGGCATGATGAAAGTCTTGTTCTAAAGTTTCTTTTGGGGGACACTTAACTATGTCATTGGGAAGCTTCAGTAAGTAGAAATCTCCCTTCTTCTCACTCAAGATCCTTCATCTCAAAATGGTGTCCACCAAATGTCTTAATCCAGGTAGTCGCTTGTTTAGAAATTCATGAAATAAGAACCTTCTCGAGAAGTTGGAGGCTATTGATTGAGATGGTTTAACACTGCCCCTTATTATATGTTTTACTCCCAAGGTAGACATCAAAGTGGCTAATAATTCTATGACTGATGTCTAACTCACTTCTATGGGAATCTATACAAAACGTTTTATTTATGAGACAGAGTCTCTCTCTGTTACCCAGCCTGGAGCACAGTGGCTTGATCACTGTTCACTACAGCCTCAATATTCCAAGCTTAAACGACCCTCCTACCACAGCCTCCCAATGTAGCTGGGACTACAGGCGTGCACCACCATGCCTCAGATAAGTGTTTAATTTTTTTTTTTTTTTTGAGACAGGGTCTCACTATATTGCTCTGGCTGGTCTCAAACTCATGGGCTCAAACGATCCTCCTGCTTCAGCCTTCCAAAACCAGGTGTTTAACTGGGGACTAACACGAAACACTTAGAAGACTACGTGGAACATAGTGAGCTACATAAAATATTTGCTATTAGCATAATAATTTTATTGTATATCTTAACAAAATTGTGTATTTTAGGCAGGTGGCATGCCAATGGAAGTACTCTCCTATAGCTGCACTGAATCATTCTTACCACTGAGAGTTGCAGCAAATGGGGGACATAATTTATAACTTACTTTTCTCTCTGTATGACTCATTAGGCAATGACTATGTATGTACTACAATGTAAACAGCACCTCCTGGATTGAATAGTACATAACTGACATGACCAGCAGAGACAGGCTAAAGACACTGAGCTGAAAACCCTGGACTCTATTGCTAAATCAAGGCTCCTGAATCCGTTCCCTCTAAGCAACTGTTGCTGTGGTGCTGCCTTCACAAGCACTCTGCTGAGCACTCAGATTGAGGTGCTGTGCTATCCGTCATCGGACAAGCTGCACCCAGAACTGTTCAGCTGACAAACTGGTAGCAGTCCAGAAATACAGTTCTGCTGCATAGTGAAAAAGGCCAATTTAGATTCTTTTTCATAGAGAGAAAAACATAAATATGTGATTTAACAAGTCTCCTGTATTAAACTAATTGGTTTAGATTTGATATATAATTGTTAAAAACACACTTAGAATATAAACCTTACTGTGCCAAGGTCTCAAAGAAGAAATAATTGGTATGGTATAAAGTATTGAATTGTATGCTACAAACTTCTAAGCTAAAATACTTTCAATGTATGCAAGGATAGGTGGCATACATATTATATATTATTCCCCCATTAAGCAAATTTATAATGAGAGAAAATTATCTTCCATAAAAAAAGCCATGTAAAATTAAGAACTAAGTTTTTCTGCACAGACTAGACAATGATTGCTAACACATAAGGTCAATGAGAGAACACTCAGAGAAAGCTTCATGAAAACAATAAATTGTCTGCCACGTCTGAGTGAATGTGGCTAGATGAACAGAAACTGAGAAGGTAGAAAGAATAGCATGAGCAAGACGAGTGCTGAAATCTGCCCAATTAACTCTGAGGATAAAGTCCAATGGCAGAGAAATAAAAACCTGTGTCCACATAATAACCTGTAAGTGAATGTTCACAGCAGCATTTTTCATAAGAGCTAAAAAGTGGAAACTAACCTAAAGGTCCATCAACTGATGAATGAATGGAAAACCAGTATAGCCATGGAATAGAACATCATTTAACTATAAGAAGAAATAAACTACCAATGTGTGCTAAAACATTACGCTAAGTGAATTCTGAAAACATTATGCTAAGTGAAAAAGCCAGTCACAGAGGACTACGTATTGTATAACTCTATGTATATGAAATAAGCAGAACAGGCAAACATATGGAGACAAAAGTAGATAGATGGTGGTTGCCTACAGCAGAGGTAGGTGGAGGGACATGGAGGAAGGCTGCAGTCATGCCTAGGAGATGTGGGGTTGCTTTTCAGGGTGATGAAAATGCTGTGAATATACTAATAGATACTCAGTTGTACATTTTAAATGGTTGAACTCTCTCAAATGTGAATGATATCTCAGTGAAACTGTTTTTAAAATCCAAAGGCAGGATCAAGATAATTTTCTCAACTCTCAATTTTTGATGTACATGTTATCTCAAATTTAATTATTTCCACAGTTTTATAGTATATTTTAAATAAAAGATAAAGAAAATGCCTAACTTTTCAAATAGTTTGTAAATTAACCTAAAACATACACTTTTAAAAGAATAGTATAATGGCCTTTCTGTACAAGTTATCCTAGAATCTGTGAAATAAATAGACACAGATTCTGTGTCCACTCACAAAAGTGAAGAAATAAGACAATTTTCTGGAACATTCCATGAAACATTCTTCTCTGATTTAATCTGGCCTGTCTCATCAGAGCAATACAAAAATTACTTAAAAATACTGTTTTAACAGGACAAAAGTCAGTTTTCTATGAGGAATGATGTATAATTCTCAACTTTTCCAAGGGTACATATTGTAAGAGAAAAGGTATGCAATGGTTTTTCAAAATGGTAGAATGAAAGTCACTATATAAAAAAATAAGTACATTATAGAGATAGTAAAATGGAAATAATTCATTGTAATGAAAATAAAAAATCTAGCTTCTGCCATAATTAGTATCCTAAAACATGTTATTTAATTCAACTAGCTACAGAATAACCGTTGACATGCTAAGTTCCATACATACTTGACTTTCCACTTGAAATAATTTCTTCTTTGGGACCTGTGTCTCATCCAAATTAATGTGATAATGTGATATACCTTCCAATGGAGACTCTAACATAGTTAATTTTTTTAGGCTGTCAGCCGCTTCTTGTTGAAGTTGTCTCACAACCACCTGAGAAAATATTTTGGTACTGATTTTATAAATTGCCTTATTATTAAATTATGTTAATAATATTTAACTCTAACATACCTACTTTGAAAATTATCACCACACATATCAATTCACCTTCTTTTAATCACATGTACACATTTTTATTTATTACTGAATTCAGTGAGGGATGCACAATATATTCTCTTCCTGCCAAGTTGGTATTCTCTTACTTACATAACAGATTCATCCCACCATTCAATCATCTTAGAAGCTCAACTCAACCTCAAAGTTCCTGACATATTCAATCACCTGTTCAAATCCTTCCAACAGATTCCTATCTCAGAATAAAGGTAAAATTCCAATGGCCTTTGAGGTCCTAGGTAAACAGGTCTCTACCTCTCTCTCTGACTTCAAAGCTCCTACAACTCCCTCCTGTAATTACTCCATTCCCACTGTACGTGAAGCCTGCCACCCCTCAGTCTGAAAATAGGGATCTAATGCCTTACTCATAAATCACAGGCAGCTACAAGTATCTTTGTACTGAACAAAATTATATTCCAATGATAGTCATTGAGCCTTGAAATAAAAATTAGGAGCTAATTATTAATATAAATATTCAAAGTAAACTATAAATACCAGTGGGAAGACTAAACCAAATATAGTTTTGCTAAATATTACCACATGTATCCTAAATTATGATTTTATAACAAGTAGGTGCCTTTGAAACATTACATAGTCATAAAAATATGTAATTTGACATATTTTCAGATTTGTTAAATTAATATGATTAATAACAAAGATATACCAACTAAAATACATAAAAAGCTACTTAAAGCAAGGTATTACAAGACACAGCAATACACTTCAGTTCATCTGGGAAATCTAGAATTAAGTGTCAAAGAAAATCAATTAAATTTTAATTTGAAAATACTCATTTCAGGTGTAAACATTTCCGTTTATACTTACATTATGGTCTTAACATGTGGCAACATAAAGTCATTAAAATTATTATTTCAGCAGCACAGAACTATCTACCTTAAAATATGACTCTGTCCCTAATAAAATTTCATAGGTGACACAATGTCTTTTCTCAAAGTAAATCATCTCTCACCTCTACCTTTTATTTCCTAGAAATGAGGCACGTTTCTAAGCTGGTAGAGTAAACACGGTTTTCCTTTTTTTTATTAAAACAGCTTTGTTGAAATATAATTTACATACTATAGAATGTATCTGTTTTAACTTAAAGTTAAAAGATTTTTTAGTCCATTTACTGAGTTGTGCAGCCATCTCTACAATCCAACTTTACAGCATTTCCATCACTGCAAGATCCCTCACGCCCATTAGCAGTCACTACCAGCTTTCAGCCCCAGCCCTTTGCAAACAGTAGTCTACTTTTTGTCCCTATACGTTTATCTTTTCTGGATGCTTCATGTAAATGGAATTATACAGTATGGTAAACACACCTTTTATCCATTGATTTTTATATTCAACTAAGTTCAACATGTATCCAGAACCAAATGTTTAAATTTTCTTTCTAAAAGTTTGAAAATATTTATCTTCCTTGATACTTACTACTCTTTCTGCTTTCTCTCTCTCATATTGAAAGAGACTTTCTTTTAAATGATCACATTCATTCATTAGTTTCTTATTTTTCTCTTCTAGCATGAGGTCTTTCTTTCCACTCTCAATAAAGCCTCTTTGGATATTAGTTACTATCTCTTTATGATCCTCTTTCTGATGAACATCATCTAGTTGCTGTTCAATGCACGGATTTTCATGTTGGAGTTGACATATCCGCTCTTCTACACAGCTCCACTTTCCAGTGGAATTATTCACTTTAGCTTCTGCATTTTCATACATCTCTTTCATTTCCTTTATTTGCTGCTGTGTTTGTCTTAGGTCGTTTGGAGAGTTTCTAAAGCCAATGACTTTTTTCTGAGAGTATCTCTTTTCTTATGGAACTTATCTTTTAAGGTATTGAATTTAATTTGCGTTTTAGAAAGTTGTTCAGTAAGAAATTCATTCTTATCTTCTACTTCGGAAATATCAGAACTCATTTTTACTTGTACGGAAACGTCTTGTGTTCACTCTAATGCAAGTTTTAGGTTTCTTTCTGTTTTCACACTTTCACTGTGTTTACTTATAGCAGCAGTCAGTGTAGACTGATGATTCAATTTCAGCTTCCAGTCTTTTGTTGCTTTCTTCTTCCTTCAACAGTTCGGAATTGAGCCTTGTATTCTCAGCTTTGAGATCATTAAGCTCTTGTTGATACCGGAATGCTGTTTTTGTTATCAATTCCTCATTGAGTTTTATATAGTTTTCAAGGGCAGCATTTGTTTTTTTAACAATTTTAACGTCCTTAAGATATTTATTTTCTTTTTCCAGGTTGTCATTTTTCATTGTGCATATTTCCTGTCTGAGTATAGCAATATCTGTCTTCAAAATGCAATTTTCATCCATCAGATCTTTCATTTCTTCGTGATTATGAAAATCCTAAATAAAACAAAAGAAAGTTTTAGCTAGTATGCAATAAAATAACATAACATGATTACCTCTGAAGTTAAAGAATAACCTGCACATCCATATACAAAAAGGTTACTGTAAGTGGATATCCAACCGGAGAAAAAGTTGAAGCAAAACTTTGAACCTTATAGAGCATAAGTTCCAAAAAGTTCAGAAATTTATTTAAAGTCAATGAATTTATAAAAGTAAACACACACACACACACACGCACACTAGAGAATTTTTAAGAATTTCAGAATTGGAAAAGCCTTTCCCTGAATTACAACAAACTCAGAAGCATAAATTAAAGCATTAACAAATTTGACTAAATTAAAATATATCAAAAAATTGCATTTACACTTTGATATCTAACCCATACACCACCCTATAGTAAGAACCTTATTTCACACGTATTTGGACAGATAAAATTTCCCAGAGTTACTACAGTTCTGTTTCACTGATAACATTCTATTTCAATTTGACTCTTTTAACACTTTTATAGTCAGTTGTAAGAATTACATTTACTAAATCATAAATCTAGACATTATACTAGTCACTCCTATATACATTCATTGATGAACTCCTCTAGTTACCACAATTTTGAAAAAGAAATGTTAAAAATATAAGCAAGCTACAGGATTTTCCCCAGGACTTCTGACTCTACTTCTAGTTCTCTGACAGATCACAGTTACTTCTGTGGTGTAAATGTATCAATACGAAAGAAAACTTTTATTTCAAAACACCAATGGTAAATAAGATAAAATTTATAGAGCTCTTCTTAGAATATCATGAGATTATTTGTGATTGCAATAATTTGTTTCCTCTTTATAGTATTAGGTACAGTAATCAATATGAAATAGCGGGAAGTACAAGGGACAATTTTACTGGGAAAAAAATCTTTATCAATAGGTTATCACTAAGTATATATTATGGCATATTATTGTTTTCAAAAGCTCTTTGTAATAAAATAATATCCTATGTGGATGCCAAGATTTATAATAAATATTAATAATTGTACCTGTAAGTGTCATCATTCATTTTTTGAAAATGAGATAACATTTCTGGTTTGTTTTATACCAAAATATTATATATTAAATCAAGAGGATATTATAAGTAACATTGATAAAATAAAGTTTAAAATATAGAATTTTTACCAAAGATTGATTTATCTGATTTGGAGTATTTCTTGTAGTCTTCAGTTTCATCTCTAGTGATTGAACAGTTGGTTCAAGTTGTTTTGCTTCAACTTCTTTCTTATATTGTTTCTCTTTCCTTTCTAATTCTTCTCTATTTTTTTGTACAGCATATTAACATTTGTTTTTTCTTCACTTTCTTGTCTTAAGATGCATCTGCAGATAAAGACATTTATCTTAAAATTCATTTTGTTGGAAAACAAAGAGATCATCCTGTGATCTACCTCTGCAGATGCTCTTTATCATCCTAATAAAATTTCTATGTTCTGGATTATTTTTCCTTTGTAGTTCTCAGATATTTAATTTCTCACTTCAACATCTTCAAACGAATGTATATACTTGAAAAGTAGTAAGGAAAGAATATTCTGCTAAAGTTTTTGTTACTAGTCACTCTAGTATGTATTATAAAAAAGGATACTGGAAATAATTCAGTATAGTTAGAAGTTCAAAATTACCTTTTCAAATCACACAGTCATAATTACTCCCCGATTAGAAAAGATCATTTACAATCAACTAAATTTTTAAAGTTACTATTTATTGACAAGCGTATAAGTTCACTAGAAATAAATTTTCATCTCTATGAAATATTGTAGGTGTCTCTCCAAATGATTTACAGAGTAAGATGTCTCTCACACAAACTACATCTGCAGATGATTGTCATCTAAAACTAGGCTAAAGAGTCTAACATCTGTCACCCCATACTTTTTATAATTCTTTCTTAATACTTCCAATTCACCTTCTTATTACATATATTTTATATATTTATTAAGCTATTGTTCATTATGTGTAATATATAATTAATGCCCTTAATAAGTGTGTGTATGTTTACACAAGTTATGTTTTCCTGTGAAATCTAGTCCCAGAGGTGGAGTTGTTGAGTTAAAGGGATGTCAGGTTATTTGAAATTTTGATACACAGCACTAAGTTACCCTTCAGAAATAATTTACCAATTTCATATACCAACAGTGTATGAGAATGCCTTTTTCCTCACATTTTCAATGGTAGTAATTACTTTTTCAATATCAGCATGACTTTACAAAATATATCTTATTTTATGTTAATTTGCATTTTTCTGATTACCAGGCAGGGCTAAATATCCCTGGTAAAACTATAAAACTTGTTAATCATAGGGAACATTAGTCCAATTTTGAATTAGTTTATAGCACAATGACAATTATCTGCTGAGAAATACTGCTATAGGTGGCCAGGCACGATGGCTCACACCTGTAAACCCAGCACTTTGGGAGGCCGAGGTGGGCAGAACACCGGAGGTCAGGAGTTCGAGACAAGCCTGGATAACATGGTGAAACCTCATTTCTACTAAAAATACAAAAAATTAGTTGGGCATGGTGGCACATGTCTGTAATCTCAGCTACTAGGGAGGCTGAGTCAGGAGAATCACTTGAACCCAGTATGCATAGGTTGCAGTGAGGTGAGAACACACCATTGCACTCCAGCTTGGGCAACAAGAGAGAAACTCCATCTCAGAAAAACAAACAAACAAACAAACAAACAAAAACACACTGCTATAGGCTTACTTACCTATCATGCTCTTCCTTCAGTTTCTTGGGAAATTGCCGAGGATACGTTTTCCCAACCTTTCTTTGTTTGGTTAATCTGTCAGCAGCAGCAGAAGATGTACTATGACATACATTTTCTGATAGTTGTATTTTTTTCACTTTTGTTTGTATTATTTCCTTCTTTGACCTTTAGTAAAAGTAATATGAATAATAATTATTATTTTATTCAATAAAAAAACTTTTTCCCTGATTTTTTCACTTGATTCAGGTTAACTATCACCATTTTAATGATAAAAGTATTTTGTGCTTACTTTAATTTTATCATTATACATAATAATTATAAGACACTTATCATTTTATCATTGAAATTTTTGTCAAGTCTGCTCATTTCTGTTTGAGTGAATGGAATAATTTTCCAAAATTTCAAAAAGGACTCTTCTCCATTTTGTGCTTTTATTCGCATCCACTCTTTGCTATCTGATATAAATGTTTATGCTATCTGACTGGCAGAAACAGAGAAATAAAAAGACACAGGCATAACATATATCTCCTGTCATTGCCACCTGGATTTTACATGAAATAGCCAGATTAAGAGGATGTGACCTTGTAGGCCTTCAGGAAGAGTAAAGAAGTTTTCCCTTTTCTGCACTGAGCTATTCTTTTCCCCACTGCCTTTTATCTCTTTTTTTTTTTTTTTTTTTTTTTGGATCCTGGGATATCAAAAAAGTGAAAGTTCTCCCTGAACTATGGGAACCAATGTTTGCCACAACACAAGAAGCAGAGTGAAACTGCTGAGTTTCTAATGCAGAATTCTGGAAAACGAGATGCTTCCCAGATTTCACATTCAATTACCACAAACGTTTATAGGTGGAAAACATACGGTACAGCTAACTACTTTAGCCCCATTATCTACTGAAAATAGGAGTCAAACCAACCAAGACATATGAAATGTTTCATCCAGAGCTCTTGAGGTGGCATTCCCTAGCATTTCATGGCACCAAATAACATGATACAATTCCATATTGCTCAATTACATAAATTACCAGATAAATTTATCAAATTAGTCAGATATATTAAAAGTCTAACTTGAGCAAAGCAATTTAACACCTCAGAGGGTGGAAAAAGGCGTGGAAAAAGGCCTCATCTGCTTTTACTTTGAAAGAAGAAAATCTCTAGATTTTTGTCTATCTTTAGAACACAATGTACAGAACTCAACTTTCTACTAAAGAGTCAAAGGCTAAATTTTTAGCTAAGAAATTATGCTTCTTTCTTACATGATAAAAATCATACATGCCAAAACTTACCATACTTTATTAAACAACATAATGTAAGGTCTGATTCAACAGAAATATTGGAGTGGTGATTTTTTAAAATATGTGGAAGTATATATTTGTTTTCAAAATATTGGAAATAACCATGATGGAACTATAAATTCAAACAGTTTAAGCTAAGCAGATAAACTGGCGTGCATGAAAACACATTAAACAGACTCATTTGGCTGGGAATATTCATTGCAACTCTCAAGGCTAGACGTGTTTTTGTGGCTCATCTCAGTCATTGCTTCCCTCCCATTGTATTCCCATTCTATCATTAAATAAATGTAATTCATCTCTAAATGAATACAGAAAAAAGAATCTAGAATCTAAAGCTTATTTCTTTAGCAATTTCTTTATGTTGATCTGGTTCAGAAGGTCACATGGTATATGGCTGAATTAGTTTCCCAGCTCATATGCCACTTGGAAGACTGAGAGTGAGACTTAGGTTGATTAATGAAGAAACATTATGAGAACATTCTCCAGAACCGTTGTTTAGATAGCAGGACTAATCTACTTTGACACATAATTACACATTTAGAAAACCCTGCTGTAACTGTACACATGAGATTTTCTTGAATAGAAAATTTGACTAAATCAAATAATTGACAAAGAGAAAAAAGAAGCAGCAAGTGAACCTCTGTCTTTTTGAAGTTGGACTTTCTCTTTCTCCAAAGCCAGGAACTCTACTTGTAACATGCCTACCTTATTCTTTTTACTATTATTATACTTTAAGTTCTGGTACATGTGCACATTGTGCAGGTTTGTTACATATGTATACATGTGCTATGTTAGTGACCTCGGAATATCTTGCTGTAAGTCTTCTAGCTATATTTTTGATGTTCTCTCACTATGTGGCAAAGAATAACCCGCATTTTATAATTCAAGATTCATGGTTTTGTAGTTACTAACACTGGGATTGTCATACAGCGGCTTCTGGAATAAGCACTGTGTTGGTTTTCTGTTTTTATAAGTATCTGTAGCAGCAGAAATACTGTGACTTTCTATCTGAATCATATGCTTCATTTCTTTGGGGTGGGTAAACCACAAATCAAAAAGACTTTCTGGATCTCTAGACTGAGACCAATGCCTAATTTCCAATTAGTGGTATTTGGATTTATATATTTTTCCATTTGCATGTCAAACTCTTAATCATCTTTCATTTCAATCATAATTACTGGGTTCCTTACTTTTTCAGTTTCTATATCATAACAAAAATTTCCATCATCTGTGTTAGAAACAAGCTGTGTGTCTGGTTTGTTATCATTTTTATAGTCTGATTTATTTTAATTTAAATGAAGCCTAGAAGATGACTGGTAAGTGTATTTCAGGGACCTGGAGTGTGAATGGAATAAAAAGACATTTGACATGGGCTTCCTCTGTTCAGGCGCTGCCTGGACTGCCACAGAGCTAGACCCTCCTGATACATTTTTCTCCTCACAATCAGGGACATGATTCATCAGACTAGAGGGCACTCCTTTTTTGTTCATCCCTCTTTAGAGTTACCATGTAGGAGCTCTTCCTCAGGGCAAGCAGTAATTTTGGAGTTTTCAGAACTTTTACCAATATTCAGCTTGAACTTGTTTGTAATGAATTTTAAAGAAAGTCATGAATATATAGATTGATTCCCTTTATCACTGTTCTTACCCAGTTCTGGTTCTTGAGACTTTTTTTGGTGGGGGGCAGGTGCAAAATGGAAAACAAATTTGCTTGTTTTGTTTCTCAGATGTCTTTTCTGTCAGAGTGCATGTTGTAAAATTAGCTTTAATCAAGTATAAACAAAGAAATATTAGAAAATAATTAAAATTTAACTGTGAAACTTAATCTATGTGTTGCTACTCTTAAATTATGGGATTGTAACTAAAAAGTGAAAAATAATTTGCCTTGGCTTAACATAGGACAGAAACATGAACCAGCAAGCTGAACTCTCAGTGTCTGTTTGGACTAAACTTAATGCATTTGTGTAAAATCTACCAGAAATGAATTCAAAGATGATAGGTAGTATTATAAAAGCTTCCTCTCTTACAAAGACTTTACCTCAGCATACCAGAAAGAGTGAGCCCCTACAGTGCATGTTTATTTCTGAAGATTAACTAGAGCACTAGGCAAACACTAAATTATTAAGAGCTAAACTGAACACCAATAAGAAAGAGAAGCAAAATTTTAAATTCTAATTCAAATGATATACTATGATAGTGTTATGTATCTAGATAGAATTTCTGCTTATATCCACTTCTAATATATTTTAAGTTCCAGTAGTGATAGGGTTTGGATTTTTTAAATTTTGGTAATGCTTACTATGTATTTATGTTGAAATAAAGTTATTGTTCACACCCTGACACCAAAGGTCCCATTCTGCAAGGTAGGATTCTCTTAATAGGCAACTGCATTGACTTTTATGACCCCATTCACTCCCTGAACACAGACACAGAAGTCAACTGGTGACCATAAAACAGAATAAATCTTTAACCTCGGCACTGGTGACCAGCAATATAAAACTGCAACATTTGAAGCACTGGCAATGATGACTCCTTTAACACTAGTTTAACTCAGTGGCCATTGTTGTTAAACTGTTCATAATTTCTATTCCTCAGCAATATGACCCAATACTTCATGTTACCTTGTGTATTATGAGTAAGGTTATATAAATAAAACAGCAAGATAATTCTGAAAATTTCTTGCCTCAATTCCAAGGATAAAGACAGCTATGAGTTACTAGAGATACTAAGAATTACTAGAATAACTAATAGTTACTTAGAGATAGTAAGAATATCTTAAGTTTCATAACTGGTTAAGATGTTTTAAAAATTAAATATAAAATTATGATCTATTGGATTCTAAAGGTATAGTCTGAAAGGTCATGTCATTTGTACTATGCTTTGTTACTAAAGCAAAAAAAAACCTAATATTAAACAAGAACTTAAATTTTCATATACCTGTGATTGCTTCTTTTCACTTCTTTCACACCTTTCTTGCTCTTCCTCTAAAGCCACTGGTAAGGTTTGTTCTGTTGACAAATTCATTGATTTAGTTCAAATGAACTAAGAAGAGTTAGATAAAGACTATAATCTTTATAAAAATAAATAGAGAATAACATTTCTTTGTATTTTATATTTTGAGAGTTTGAATGAAACAATGTTTACTGAAATATTTACTTCTGTAAGAAATACTTCTAATTATCCAAAACTTCAACAAACCACTTGGGGAGACACCAGATATCACCAGATTCAAGCCATGCAAAATCTCAGGGTCACTCACAAATTGTTCCACCCAACATAAGTCAACAAAACTGTTGGAAACAAAACAGAAATTTGAAATACAGTCAAAATATACAATGCAATGCTTTGCTATACTTCATAACAGTATCTTTTTAACAAGACTCTAATTGAGTTGGCAGTTACTAATAATTTGCAAGATTATTGTTCTTTATACCTCAATTAGTGTGCACCCCATTTTTTACATCACAAATGTTTTCCCCTGCTATTCTGAAAAATTTATTTTCATCTTTTAAGACTCAGAAAGTAGGCTGGGCATAATAGCTCACATCTGTAATCCCAGCACTTTGGAAGGCCAAAATGGGAGAATTGCTCAAGGCCAAGAGTTTAAGACCAGCCTGGGAACCATAGGTAACCTTGACTCTACAAAAAATTAGACAGGTATGGTGATATGTTCCTGTTGTCCCCGCTACTCAAGAAGCTTAGATGAGAAGATCCCTCGAGCCTAGGAGTCTGAGGTTTCAGTGAGTCTCAATCATGCCATTGCACTCCAATCCTGGGTGATAGAGTAAGAACTTGTCTCCAAAAAGAGGAAAAGAAAAAGGCTCAGAATGCTATGTGAAATCTTCCTTGATTCTAGCTATCTTTCTCCACACACACAGGTGTCTGCTTCGTTGGGATCCCTTAGTACCTTGTCAATTTTTCTAGTGTCACTTTACCACCTGACCTGCACATCATGTCTTCACATGTTGACCCCCTTTGCTGCTAGACTGTAGAGGACAATCTTTTGAATCATCTTTGTATAAACAGTCTTAATTTTGCTAAATAATTACTTATTGAGTTCCTGCTAAGTGTTAGGCACTGGGGAATAAGGAAGGAAAATAGAAGCTGTCAGGGATGGCTTTCCTAAAGATCATCCATGAGCTGAGACTTAGAGAGTGAGGTTAGCCAGATTAAGCGAGGCAGAGGGCAGGAAAGGGTGAGCACATGCCAGGCAGCAACAAGAGAGGAAGAGAAGCCTCCAAGAGAGTATGTATTTCTCTGCAGAAGAGGAATGGTGAGGGGGCCATTACCAGCAGCTCAGTAATTCCAGAGAAAAAGGCAGATGGGGAAAGGGATACAGATGGAGATTTGGGCAGAAATCAGTTTCCTTTTCTTTTCTTTTTTGGGACAAGGTTATACTCTGTCTCCCAGACTGGAGGGCAGTGACATGATCTCAGCTCACTGCAACCCGGCCTCCCAGGTTCAAGTAATTCTCCTGCCTCAGCCTCCTGAGTGGCTGAAATTACAGGTGCGTGCCACTACCACCTGCTAATTTTTGTATTTTATTAGAGATGGGGTTTCACCTTGTCGGCCAGGCGGGTCTTGAACTCCTGACCTCAAATGATCCACTTGCCTCAGCCTCCCAAAGTGCTGGGATCACAGACATGAGCCACCGTGCCCAACCCAGAAGTCAGTTTCTGAAATCCTTATATAAACCTTTAAGATGCTTGGACATTAGGTATTCAGGAGTGGTTCACGGATCTATTTGCATTAGGGATAATTCACTCTAAATACTGTGAGGAGCATAAAATTCTGAGGTATATAAATCAATGAACAAAGATAAAATATAAGGCAATGTTGCAAAGATGATGCAGGCCTGAGGAGATGTTTTCAGAAATATTTAGGATATAGGTATCAGTGGCCATTATAAGAATGAATTTCTATTGAATAAATAAATGTATATATCTGGGTCCCTGGAGAAATACACTCTGCTCATTACTTTACAAATTTTATCAAATGAGAAGTAAAATAATATACATAAACTCTTTCAGTTACTTGTATTTACTTTACCCTTTTTCTGTTTAAGTTTTACTGTGCCAAGGAAATGCATTTGGGTTTTGTGGTGGTTGTTGTGGTTGTGGTTGTGGTTGTTTTTGTTTTTTGAGATGGAATTTCACTCTTCCTGCCCAGTCTGAAGTGCAGTGGTGTGATCTCAGCTCATGGCAACCTCTGCCTCCTGGGTTCAAGCGATTCTCCTGCCTCAGCCTCCCAAGTAGCTGGAATTACAGGCATGTGCCACCATGAACAGCTAATTTTGTGTTTTTAGTAGAGATGGGTTTCTCCATGTTAGTCAGGCTGGTCTCAAACTCCCAACCTCAGGTTATCTGCCCGCATCAGCCTCCCAAAGTGCTGGGATTACAGGCACTAGCCACCGCACCCAGCAACATATGGGGATTTTGTTTCAAAAGTTCTGTTTCCTGGATCTACCAAGCTCATGAGAAAATAGAGCAAACAAGTCATTTGCATAGGTAAGAAACTTTGGATTTATAGCTTGTCCTCACTACTCTAGAAGATTATCATCATGTTTTGCAAAGCAAAATGTTAAACACAGACATAAGGGGAAAAAGAAATTAAAACTATAGGGGTGGGTGAAAAAATATTGCATAATTTATTACTGTTGACCTCATCATATGACTGATTAAGGGCCCTGAATTTAACTTGGATGTGAAGTAGACCTCATATTAGCTGCAGTTAATCAGTAGACCAGGCGTCATAGCAGAATTAAATTTGATGCTCCTGTGTTATCTTTAAATGACACAGCTTTTCTGAAAACCCTTACTCATAGTGCATGATTATCCATTAAGAAAAGGTGATGGAATATGTGAATACAGCTGAGGAGACACCACAAGGCAGATGCTCAGTGGTTCCCATTAATATTGGGAAAATCAACCCTATAAAACAGAAAGCCATAGACATTATTTAATATTTGGTTTTGGGAGGTATTTTTAGTGACACTGCATACAGTTGTACCTAATAATTGCTAAATTAGAGACGTAAAAGTAAAACAAAGTCACATTGTGTTTGAGTAGGAAATCTATAGACATCTAGCTGGTTTTCCCATCCAGCCACAAAATTCTAAATATAATCATGGTACCTGCACTCAAATTTATGTTAAATACCAACCTCAATGAAATCACTCTTTCTTCTCATTCTCTTTGTTATTTATATGTTGCTTTCCTTAAGGGAAGAATAAAAATGCCTTGCTAAGAACCATTCTGTTTGGTTGTAGGCTGCATAAGGGGAGTAAACACAAAGTACATTTGACCACAAAATGACTTTTTAAAAGTCAGAACTATGGTAGCATGAAGCCAAACGAGGTAATCTAGAATAAAATTTTCTATGATTCTTTCCCTTCTTTGCTCTCTTTCTACTCTAATAACTGCGATTCACACAGGTAATGAAGAGTGTAATTCCTTGATAGAAACACAGCTCCAAGATTAATCCTTTCTTTAACTATGAAGTTCGCGTGTCCAAAATCTGTGGTAGTTGCTGTCTGATTTTTGATCACTGATGGTGATACAGATATTTATCATCAACTCACAACTTCCCAAATCTTTGAAAAGTCTTACTATTGATGGTTCAACTAGTAGAAACATGATGTAAAATATCTGAAAATAAAGTTTTTATTTATTAGAATGTAAATAATAATACAAATTGTAACAAGGTGTAAAAGTTCTTTCTTCACTGAAGCAGTACCATGTTGTCCTCTACCCCACAAATGCACTACTCCCCCGTGGTCTAATGTATTTTAAAAGTCTTGTAATTGCTATTAACTCAGACAAGTTTACTTAACTTGTTCTAAGCTTCTGGTATTTACTACAGTTTACTTTCAATCACTCAACCATCTCTGTTATATGTGTTGTTTTCCATGAGAAATTTGTTTATTAGTAATTAAGATTCTTCAGGGATAAGAAAGTATTTGAATAACTAAGTTTGTGCATAAACACATTAAGGTCAAATACCCATGACATTATTGTGTGTTTCTGTGTACTAGAGACAAAAACTTCAAAAAAAATTTTAATGAATATACGTTAAATTAAAAACTGCTTTCATTAAACTGAGATAATCTTCCCTCAATGCATGAATACCTTCAGAATTCACATAGACCAACGAATTGTATAAAATATAATAGCCTTAAAAATCGTATTTGTAGCTGGCACAGTGGCTCCCACCTGTAATCCCAGCACATTGGCAAGCCGAGGTGGGCAGATCACCTGAGGTCAGGAGTTCAAGAGCAGCCTGGCCAACCTGGTGAAACCCCATCTCTACTTAAAATAGAAAAATTAGCAGGGTATGGTAGCACGTGCATGTAGTATCAGCTACTCGAGGGGCTGAGGCAGGAGAATTGCTTGAACCCGAGAGGCAGAGGTGGTAATGAGCCAAGACTGAGCCACTGCACTCCAGCCTTGGTGACAGAGCAAGACTCTGTCTCAAAAACACAAACAAACAAACAAAAAACCTAATTGTTCCCATATAAGTCTATGTTCATACAACATCTGAAGAGTACACAACACCGTGAGACAGGACAGACATATATTTTAAAAGTTATATTCCTGGTTTCTGTAAAAATAAAATAGTCGAATTTAAGCTTTCAAGACAAGTCAACCAAAAGAGCAAAAAATGCAAAAGTGAAACTCAAAAGGTCATTTCCCTATCAAGGGCTTATGATCACTGGACATTCACAAACTATACTGTTCAAAACATTAGATCTGAATTTTGATCCGAGTATCCCTTTAGTAGCAGTTTCATTCAAGGATGTCCAAGAGGTAAAATAAGACAATATCATTTGCTATTTCCAGTTTTCTTTTCTGAGAACAGCCCAGCATTCTTCTTCAGAGAAATGAATTGTCCTAACTTCATAGGCTAAAGGCTCATGAGTCATAGTTCTAAGGGCATTAATAAAATATGGTGGTGCATGCTTGTATTCTGAACTTTTCAGGTTTAAACTCTCATATAGTAAATGCTAATAGATACAAACCGATTAAAGAAAAGCCCTCTTAATCTGACATTATTTTTCTTTTTATTTCTTCATTTATCAGCAACAGGAGAGTCTAACTAAATGTGGTAAAGTGGTATGAGGGAATACAATGAACAGTGTAAAATGAATTAAACCAGAGATAATCACACCAATGTGGGTACAAGTGGAAAATATAATAAAAAACACACCAAAGAAAGTGGCAGAAAGGTATATAAAGTATATAACCACTCACATACCATTTTAGGACACAAAAATTCTGCATATTATTTCTGAGCATCACAATGTAGTTAAAGATTTCAAAAGGGCATTGAAATGAAAAACAACCAACTTATGATGTTGGTAGCCTCTATGCAATCATGTTTTAAAAACTTTAACACCAAAAAGGCTCAAAATCACCATTTTAAAGGACTGTGTCTACCAGTCATAAATGAATCATTACTTTCGTCATTTGTAATAGTCAAAGATGCCACAAGCGTACACATACACACATCTATATATACACCTACACACACAGTCTTGCTCATTAGAACATCTGATAGGCTTCAGATCATCAGTGTAATAACACTAGCAGCAAGCCTCTGAAGTTAAAACAGAAACTAACACTTTAATAAGTAAAGCTTTCCTCTAGGTAAAGATCAGAACTCCAACTAGCACTTAACTCACTGGAAATATCTTAAGAGTCTCAAAATTCACTGCTTTGAATCCCTGACAAGTATAAAAATTTTATACTGAAAACTTCATGCTATTCAAAACATTAAAACAGAAACATCTGACTTAAAGCTTACATTTTTAAAATCTTTTTTATGCTTCTAAATTTGTTTTTATTCAAATATGGATACCAACAATAACATTTATGTCAATGCCTTCTGTTCAATATTGAACAAATAGAATTAGGAATAAGAATAATATGAGTACATCCAATCATTGAATGTACTTTATTTCCAGTATTCCATTAAATGTACCTGCTCTCAATGTCTGTACATTCTTTCTTTGTACTGCTCCTTTCACAGCAGGATCTTCCACTTCAGTGCTAGGCTGAATGGGTTTTAAAAGAAAACGATTCATAAATCACATATATTTTATACAACATAGAGTTAGTGATTCAAAAATATACATAATTAATTACCTTCAAGGAAGGATGTTTTGCAGGAGGCCCTACAAAACAAAGGGGATATGTCATCAATTATATGTAAGTATGACAGGGCCAACCAAACATTCATGCAGTGTTACTGTTGGGCTGAATTCTCAGGCCTGGCTATAAAAATAATTACTTAAGGCTATAAAAATAATTACTTCTTGGCTTCTTCTTTTCATTGCCTAGGACAGCAACATGACAGAAACACAATGAGGAAAATAGGAATATAGGATTCCCAAAATGCACAGTTTACATTTCAGTAGTGAGATTATGTTTCAAATGCCTATACTTAAAATAGAAAAGCATTGATATAACCGTGAACACGTGGACTGATGAGGAGAAAAGGGACCATTAAACAGAGGGTCAAATCAAACCTGAGAGAATCAATGCAACTTAATCATATCTTATTCACTCATGTCAGTGAAACTTCTCTCCCTGAGGCCTGACAGTTATCAAGTGAAATGAGCTGCTGTGGTTTACCCCAACTCTAGCACTCCCTCCTGTCTCCAGTACTCTCCACAGCAATAACCTCTTTTGTGAGACTGGGCATATGCTGAAGCAACTGGAAGTGAGTTGTCTCAAGTTTACTTGGCTTTAACTCCCAAGACCCCAGCAAATGTCTTTCTTTCCTCCTTTTGTGTCCTTTCACCATCCCTCTTCCTTTGAAAAAATGATTATCAGAACTGTCATCCTGATGCTTCCCTTCCTAACTGCTTTTTATGGATGATTGTGACCACTTTTTTCATCTGTATTCAGCAGTAGTATACACCTGTAATCTCACTTTTTTCATCTCATTTTCCTTCCCCTGTGGCTAGAATCATGCTCAGAAATAAAAGGAAATTAAAGCTTTCCCTGGATTCTGTTATTTTTTAAATTGCTCTCCAGTGGTTCTTTTTCCAGATTTCTCTAAAGGAAGGCTATTCCCTTGCTATTCAGAGCTGTGTCCAAGGACCAGCACAAACATCACCTGAGTGCTCATGAGAAATGCAGACTCCAATACCTGCTGAGTCAGAATGTGCACTTTCCAGAATCTCCTCAACGAATTCATGACAATTTGAATGCCCTGTTCTACACTGGTGTGCTTCCATATTGGTTTACCCTAATTGGCCTTTTTGGCCTAGCCTCAACTTCTTTCCTATTATGTCCCTGAATTTAATACTACGTTATAAGCCATAATGTTTCTAATGAACTTTTAATCAGGCAAAGCTTCTCTAATTAATTTCTTCCCAATAAATCACCCAACACTATTCTTTTCAATTATGTTAATATGATACTATCCTATGAAGTTACAACATTTTCTATAAAAACAAATTATAGCCATACATGGCTGACCATTTACGGTGATGTTCATCTATGGTAGATAAAACACAGGTCTGCATGGTAAAGTACCTCAATCCTTAATGCCTCCCCAGTAGCGACAATGACAGCAAGAGAAGGAAAATGTTACTGTAATTATATGACACATTTTGGTACTGGAAGCTCACTTTATCTTCCTTCCTATTTCTAACACCCTGTTCTTCCTTCTTCTACAGATCAATTTGACTTTACTACCCTCCATTACGTACATCTACTTTTTTTATTTATTCCATGTACACTCTGCCCTCCTCATTCTTTCTTTCTCTTTTATTCATTTCCTCTTCCCTCTCTCCTGACTTGCCTCAGGTCTTAAGAGTATGTTAAAATGGAACTCATAACTCAGCTCCTTTAGTGGTACTTCCAATAGAATCAACTGCTGACCCTTGGTTAGAGACACCACTTATCACCATTTCATTTCTCTTTTACTTATGATACAGTTAATAGGACATTTTCTTTAGCTATTAAACTCTATTAGTGCTCATATTTTAAAAGAAACATTCCATCAATGCCTTTTTTTTTTTTTGAGATGGAGTCTCACTCTGTCACCCAGGCTGGAGTGCAGTGGCACGATCTCCGCTCACTGCAAGCTCCACCTCCCAGGTTCACACCATCCTCCTGCCTCAGCCTCCCGAGTTGCTGGGACTACAGGCACCCACCACCATGCCCGGCTAATTTTTTGTGTTTTTAGTAGAGATGGGGTTTCACCATGTTAGCCAGGATGGTCTTGATCTCCTGACCTCATTACCCGCCCACCTCAGGCTCCCAAAGTGCTGGAATTACAGGCGTGAGCCACCGCGCCTGGTCTCCATCAAATGACTTTTTAAATAAAATACGGTTCTCACCTTTTCCTTTTCCATTGACTATTCTGTTTCCTTTTTCATGAGAAGGTCCACGTAAAGGCTCTGACACTTTCTCCGGGACATACTGCTAAGGTAATAGCAAGAATTAGTTTCCATTTAAAATTAAAATGAGTTGCATCAAGAGTTTCTTATCAATCTCTTTTTATGAAACTGGGTCTCACTCTGTCAACCCAGGGCTAGAATGCAGGGGCCTGATTATGGCTCACTGTGGTCTCAAACTCCTGACCTCAAGCAATCTTCCCACCTCAACTTCCTGAATAACTGGAACTACAGGTGCATACCATCATGTCATGCTAATGTTTTTATTGTTATCTTTGTAGAGACAAGGCCTCATTATACCTCCCAGGCTGGTCTCAAGCTCCTGGGCTCAAGCAAATCTTCCACTTCTGCCTCCCAAAATGTTGAGATAAGCAGTTTGCACCACCACACCCATCCCTAATCAATTTCTTTAAATCAATCTCAATGTTGCCCAGGCATGGTGGCTCACACCTGTAATCTCAGCCCTTTGCAAGGCCAAGGTGGGTGGATTGCTTGAGTTCAGGAGTTGGAGACCAGCCTGGGCAACATAATGAGAACACATCTCTACTCAAAAAATACCAAAAGGAGTCAGGCATGATGGTGTGTGCCTGTAGTCCCAGCTGCTTGGGAAGCTGATGTGGGAGGATCACTTGAGCCTGAGAGGTGGATACAGCAGTGAGCCAAGATCATGCAACTACGCTGCAGCATGGACAACAGAGCAAGACCCTGCCTCCCCAAAAATTTCAATTTAAAATGTGAGAACAAAGAGAGATACAAACAAAAAACAAGCCTAATTAGTCAATGAAATATGAGCTTAAGCCAAGAAAGAAAATGAAAAACATGAAGTACAATAAAGTACTTGAGGAAATAGATCTATAACAGAGCCTTCGGTCTTTCATAACTCTGATAATACTAATTAATATTTATGCTGCAATTAGTTTTTTGTAAGTACTTCTGTGATAGTGTTTCTTACTATAAGACATTCAATTAGCTAAATATGGTCATCTGCCATTACCTGAAAGAACATTATTATAACAGAGAGAGAAAACTGGAACTTTCCATCAACTTTCCACCCAGAAAAAGAATTGGTCACCAGAATTCTAAAGAGTAATGTATGGCAGACACATGAAAAAATGCTCATCATCACTGGCCATCAGAGAAATGCAAATCGAAACCACTATGAGATATCATTTCACACCAGTTAGAATGGCAATCATTAAAAAGTCAGGAAACAACAGGTGCTGGAGAGGATGTGGAGAAATAGGAACACTTTTACACTGTTGGTGGGACTGTAAACTAGTTCAACCATTGTGGAAGACAGTGTGGAGATTCCTCAAGGATCAAGAATTAGAAATACCATTTGATCCAGCCATCCCATTACTGGATATATATGCAAAGGATTATAAATCATGCTGCTATAAAGACACATGCACATGTATGTTTATTGTGGCACTATTCACAATAGCAAAGACTTGGAACCAACCCATATGCCCATCAATGATAGACTGGATTAAGAAAATGTGGCACTTACACACCATGGAATACTATGCAGCATAAAAAATGATGAGTTCATGTCCTTTGTAGGGACATGGATGAAGCTGGAAACCATCATTCTGAGCAAACTGTTGCAAGGACAGAAAACCAAACACCACATGTTCTCACTCATAGGTGGGAACTGAACAATGAGAAGACTTGGACACAGGATGGGGAACATCACACACCAGGGCCTGTCATGGGGTGGGGGGAGAGGGGAGGAATAGCATTAGGAGATATACCTAATATAAATGACGAGTTAATGGGTGCAGCACACCAACATGGCACATGTATACATATTTAACAAACCTGCACGTTGTGCACATGTACCCTAGAACTTAAAGTATAATAATAATAATAAAGAGTAATGTATGGCTTGAAACGGTATATTTAATGGAACATGAGTTGGGTCTAATAAAAAGCTTAAGAAATGTTAATCTAAAATCTCAATGTTAAGATTCCAGTTGAATGATACTAGAAAATATATTGTAACCCTCTTTGCTACCGATGACCTATTTCTCTTTTATTTCCTTTTTAATTATGGCATAATTTCTCAACATAACATGTCAAAACTTATACACCCTTAAATATTAAAAAATAATACAATGTAAGCAATATTTTAAATACAATATTTAATGATTAGATACATTAGGTTTATTATATTACTTATAACATTCCATTATATAAAAATTCATTTGTTTATTTATTCAGATTAAACAACTATTAAGGCTGAATGTCTCATGTCTGTAACCGCAGCACTTTGAGAGGCTGAGGCGAGCAGAACACTTGAGCCCAACAGTTAAAGAAGAGCCTGGGCAACAAGGCAAAACCCTATCTCTACAAAACTCAGCCCAGCATGGTGACACAGGTTTATGGTGACATAGCTCTATTGTTTCAACTACTTGGATGGCTGAGGTGTGAGGATCACCTGAGCCTAGGAAATGGAGATCGGAGTGAGCCAAGATCTCACCAGTGCCCTCCAGCCTGGGTGACAGAGTGAAACCCCATCTCAAAAAACAACAAGTAAAATGCTTCTTACATGGAAGACTGTATTCTAGGTACTCCAGGATACACACAAATATGTTTACTGACCTCCAGTAGCTTATGGTATGCAGGAGCTTCCAGTGATCATTTAAAAAACTAAATAGAAAACCTTCTGACATTCAAACTTTCAGAATATGATATAAGGACTTTGAGCGGTTATTTTATTTTATTTTATTTTTTAAGATGTAGTCTTGCTCTGTCAACCAGCCTACAGTGCAATGGTGCGATCTTGGCTCACTGCAATCTTTGCCTCCTGGGTTCAAGCGATTCTCCTGCCTTGGTCTCCTGAGCAACTGGGATTACAGGCATGCACTATCATGCCTGGATAATTTTTGTGCTTTTTTTTTTTTATTTAGAGACAGGGTTTCACCATGTTGGCCAGGCTGATCTGGAACTCCTGACCTCAGGTGATCTACCCACCTCGGCCTCCAAAAGTGCTGGGATTACAGGTGTGAGCCACCACGCCTGGCCAAGTAAATATTTTAAATAAACTACAATGACAAAATTATGATGATAAAGACTTACCATATTGGTATTAAGAGTCTCTGCTTCTAGAACTGGTTATTTGCAGGAAAATACATGTTATTCAATTAGATGAAGTGTTTTATATAAACTCTTCATGGACAACTAATAAATCACATAAAAACCCCTTTGCAATACAAATCTTGAGAACATAAATTTAAATTTCTACATTTCCACAATTTATATTTTTAAATCAGATACAATGTTGCCCAGGCTGTTCTCAAGCTCCTGTGTTCAAGCAATCTTACTGTCTCAAACTCCCAAGTAGCAGGGACTACAGGTGTACACCACCAAACTCAGCTATTTTTCTATAATTTGTAATACTTTTTTAGTCTCACTACAGAACCAATAATATAAGTAGAGAAACAATCTCTCCTAAAAACTATATGACACCAAAATGATAAGTTTCCAAGAACAAAACCTATATGCTATGTGCTGAACATTTCTGCCACTAAAAATTACCAGGAGGATTCCATGATTACTGCAAACAATTTGATCCACTGAAGATTTATACAGGAATAAATATTAAGAAAGTCACACTTGTGTGATTTAAAAGTCAAAGTATTAGTATTTATCCAAATGAAGTTTAACCAAATTTCATATTTCCTCTATTGGAGAAAGCATTTCCTAATGTGATTTTCCTGTGACTACTTATTTTCCAGTTCATTTATTTTTCAGCTCCCACCCTGTCACAGTACTTACCAATCTTTATTAGTTACCAAAGTTAAACACATTTTTTGAATCAACTAGCCATGGGTATGTTTTTCTCTGACCAGCTTTCCATTACCACCATAAAACAATGATAGGTAAACCACTGCTAAATTTGAAAAGTAAATGCTATGCAAAACTACACTCAGAGTGAGAAGATTAATTTTACAAGAGACCACTTTACCTTAGTAGCAACACTCAAGACTTCATCATCCAATGTAGGCAATGAATCCACACACAGTTCATGCAAAATGCTTGAGAGCAAAAATACACAATGAAAATGAGCAAGTTGATTTCTTTACAATTTTTTTAACTGCCAGTTTATATCCAGCTTCCCCCTCAAAAAAAGGAAAACATAATCTGGGGAAAGGTCAGTGATCTATATATTAAATTATGATTCTTGATATAATTAAAATATGTCCTCTGTTCTAAAAATAGATTTTAGTTACCTATTTCTGCCTCCACCTGTCTAAATCTATAAAATATTCAATGAAAACTAACCTTGAGGTTTATAACAAATAGTGACAGTCAATATATTGGCAGAGCCTGACAATAATGTGCCCTCACAAATTATCTGTCCTGAAGCTGAACTTAAAATTCAATTAATGGATGACATAAATTTTGTTCCCTAAACTGGAATAAAACTGATGACCTAAAACAAGGTAGAAAGATCCACTGTCTCTTTTCCATGATCTGTCTCTGGATAAAAGACTAATCTACATCACTTCAAAATGGTAGTCTTGATTCCTCAGCCTGGATCCAACTTAGGAAGGTCCTATTGCTTTCCTTTACCCTAAATTGGTACAGGAAAGCCCCCACAATATTTGAAATGTATGAAAGCTAAATGTACAGAAGTCAAATAGCAAAGGTGTATGTTCTTATTGAGAATACTTTTCCCAGAAAGATTAAAATATTAACAATTATAAAATCCCATTATTTTCACTCTATAGGTCCTACCTTATTCAGGTCCACATAAACTAGCAAGCCCTTAAAAATTTTCATAGGCACTCAGACACCCAAGGAGAGAGACTGCGAGAAAAGAAACAGAGTCATGATAGTTGTACCTCTATTTCCCTAAGTACTATCTAAGTATATTTCTTACTATGGACACCCACTTCCAGATTCTACTTCTGCAGGGTTCCACAGAAGTCTCCAATCTTCAAATCTTCAGTGTATGAAAGCACAGATTCCTGAAAGAATGGTCTCAAATGACCAGGAGTAGGAGCTCTGTATATCCCTGCTCCTGAAAAACAAGCTAACTGGAGTCTCCATCACCTGCCACCAGCTATACACACTACCAACTACCCAACTGAACTCCATGACTGATTTGCCAGCTAATCATGCCCCTGACCCAGCCCACATGGACATGGGAAGGACATCAGTGAACTGTGAAAAGAGGCAGAGGTGAGGAGACACCTGCCCTGTGCCACACATCTATGTAGTTCAGCAATTTCCAGCCCCTTAGTACTCCAGGGGCTCTAAGCCACCCCTTTGTAAGTCAGGATGGAAGTAGATGACACCACATTTCTATCTGCTGTAGACATTCTTCCCAGTGTCTCAAAATGTTTTGGCATCTTTCAGTAAAAATCTTCAAGTTTGTCAGTCCTTGATTTAAAAAAAAAAAAAAAGCAGCAAAATTTTTAGAGCTCCCTTGAACCTTCTATTTTAATGTGTCTTTGTAGATAATTCCCAACATCTTGTGTCCTTCATTTTATAATTTATCTTTATCAAACTTGTCATAAACCCCAATACTTTGATCTCTTGTAGAAGAGTCCGTACTCCTATCCAATCCAGTGTTGTTTATCTTCAAACTTGGACTTCCCCTGCTCATTCCATTCTTATCTACTTCCATTGGGTTCACCAGCTAATTCCATTCTCATTCTATCCACAGGCTTACTCCCGTTTGTATTATTAAAACACACGCCAATAGGACATAAAAAGAAGCAAGAGTACTGGGCTTTACCATGAGTTCAAATCTCATTTCTGCCAATTCCTATGTCTAAAAAAAAAAGCTTCCTAATCTCTTTGAGCCTCACATTCTCTATCTAGAGAATCACTTGACCAGAATGTTCAATGCAGATAAAAATACTAGAAGGTATTTTAATTCATTCCAAGATTCCTTAAAATTCTGTAATTCTATGTCCTCTTGATTCTGTCTATAGAAAAACTTGGAATACATAGGCAGCAGAGTTTGAAAAAATAATAGAACAAAAGAAACACCCAGAAAAACAGAGAAGAAAGTTTTAAAAAATGAAGACAAGATTATATAAAAGTCATGGAAAAAGCAACAAGACTAAAAAATGTATTATGGAAGTAAGCAGAAATACTTGCCTAAATGGAAAACCAAACTGGGAAGTCAAATAATTTGTCTCTAAGACTTGCCTAAACTTGCTTTGGTAAAACTTACAGTCCTATGGCCAAAGCTAAGTCAGATCTGCCCTAGAGCCTTTGAAGGTAAAAATAAGATACTGGTTACCACTGAAATCGTCAAATTTATTAGGACTAACCACATTCTAACAATAAACTTAAATGAGAGTTCAAGGTATTTAAACTCTCATTAATTTAGAAGTTAATCAAATTAATGAATCCGATTGATCTGATTCAGACCTATACTTTGATCCAAGAGCTGTACAGATATCTATCAATCTATGCTGAGGAGCAAGAGAAAGGATTTGGAAGGCAGGCAGGCTGATGGTCAAACTGTAGGCCAGCTACTTTGTTAACTATGGGATCATGAGGCAATTAATCAGCTCTAATCCATAGTTGTTTATTTAACAGTAGGTTATAGGAACACAGAAGTTATGATGGCTTTATGAGATGATAAGTGCATAGAACATATTAGGATGTCTAGCCCAGAATACAACACTCAACAGATATTAGTTTCTTCCATCTATATTTTCTTAGTTAACATAATTTTTTAAATCTATGAAATCTTACCTGACTGCAGATTCATCAGAAATTCCAACATCTATTAAAGAAAAAGGTAAAATGCATTTTAAATCAATAATAAATGTACAGAATATTAAAATCATAAGAATGCACAGTGATGCATGCCTCTAATCCAAACTACTTGGGAGGATGAGGCAGGAGGATCACTTGAGGAGCCCAGAAGTTTGAGACCAGCTTGGGAAACATAGTAAGACTCTACCTTCATAAAAAAATTGTGCACACTTGTGTGTATGCTTTAGATCCTGTTTTTTGTTGTTGTTGTTGTTGTTGTTGTTTTGGTTTGGTTTGGTTTTTTAAAGCATAAGACTGACGCTTTGTTACAAAGCATTCCTTTGGGAGCATGCCTGGGATCTTATTAGAATTAACATTCATTAAACGTATTGGTAGGTAATTAATGCAGTAAGAACTCTTCCCTCTGTGTTTATTAGATGCAAAGAAGAATAAATTTATTAAAATTTGGTATCTACAAGTGAACTGCAGTATACAAGTCATCCTAGCCAAAGCCTATGAGATTGAGTAAAAATGGTATTGTTAGCAGAACAGGTGTGATGAGTCAACAGTGTCAAAGAGCATGATTTCTGGACCAAAATATGAGGGGCCATTACAACAGAGTATACACTAGTACCCCTTATCCACTATATGCGCAGAAAGACATACTTGACACGTTTTTCTCTGCTGTCACACCACAGCAACAAACATCAACAAAGAAGGCTTCTGTGACCAAATGTGTGGAGAGTTTTTCCCCACCAACAAACAAGCAATCATTCCTGCTGATGACACAATTCAATTCTCACACCCTATCTACAGATAACATCAGATTTAATTTAATTTATAAATTAAACTTTGTCATAGATATGCATGTATAGGGAAAAACAGCTTGTGATTCAGTACTATTCATGGTTTCATGCATACACTGGGGGTCTTGGAATGTATCTCCCACAGTTAAGGTGTAGTTACTGCACTTATTTTGTTATAACACAACACAGCCTCTCTAGCTCTTCAGTTCAAACTGTTTAGTTTAGAATAAAACATGCTATCGCCAGAAACCAAAAAAACATAGGAATCAGACCAGAAACAGGAATCCTTGCAAAGACTTTCCAGCCACCAGTGGAGAAGATCTCAAGAGAGATCAGTGTGTTACTCTGGCTAATACTCTTCTGGGTAAGGTGCTGGGTGGTTTCCTTAGTTGTAGCTATTTGCTCTGGCCTACGTATAACAAGGCCCAAATTCACCTGCCATTTTACCTCCCACAGAAAGAACCACTGGAAAGATCACTCCTTTAAGAGCTTATCCACATTCAGAGGGAAGCTGAATAAACACTGGGGAGGCATGGCAGGCTGCCATGCAATATTATCTGATGTGAAAAAATATATAGAAAGAAAACTATCAATGCCCTTTTTCTACCAGAATGTTCTAATGCTTGCCCATCTCCCTAGTAGGAGAAAAAATTTTTTTCACCTCGCATAAAGCAAAACTCCCTTGTCATCTCTCATGACAGAATCTAGTTGTAGGTGAGTCATGTCATCATAATACAGGCTGTTGTCAACCTCATCCCTCAAAGGAAGTTCCTCATAAGTGAGGAACTTATGTATTTACCTAATAGCATTCACTGCCTGGTCTTATTTCCAACCGAAGGTAAGTATGAAAGACTTTGTGATTCCAGTTTTATAAAGCACAACCCTTTGCACTTGTCCCCTTCCATTGCTAAAGAGTCTATCTGGACCCACCTCACAGAGCAAGATGCTCCAGGTTGTGCTGTGTAGTACGGCGTGGTGTCCTTTTCCTCAACCCTTTCTATTATGTGCCACATATCTATACAAATCATGTTTTCTAAGTATGTAAATCATATCTCATCAGAATACATCATTCTTTACAATGATAAAGAAGCAAAAGAAAAACAAAAGGACAAAGAACATCTTAAATGACTACATTCAACTGCCATGGAGCTTTAATTTTTTAACTACTCAAAAAGATATCCACTCTTCTTATTCCAACTATATGACTCTTCTGAAAAAAGTAAAACTATGAAGACAGAGTAAACATCAATGGTTGTCACGAGTTGCTAGGGAGAAAGGGAGAGATGAACAGGCATAGCACAGAGAATTTTTAGGGCGGTGAAACTGTTCTGTCGATAATATTACAGTAATAGATACATGTCATGTCATTATACATTTGTCCAAATTCACAGAATGTACAGCATCTAGAGTGAGGCCTGATGTAAACTATGAACTTCAAATGATTATAATGTGTCAATGTAAGTTCATCAGTTGTAACAAATGGACCACTCTCTGGTGGAAAATACTAATAATGGGGGAGGCTATGCGTGTGTGGGAGGCATGGGATATATGAGAAATCTCTGTACCTTCCTCTCAATTTTGCTGTGAACCTAAAACTACTCTAAGAAATAAGGTTATTGATTTAAAAAAAAATATTCAGCTGGGCTCAGTGGCTCATGCCTGTAATCTCAGCACTTTGGGAGGCAAAGGTGGGTGGATCACCTGAGGTCAGGAGTTCAAGACCAGCCTGGCCAACATGGCAAAACCTCATCTCTAATAAAAATACAAAAATTAGCTGGGCATGGTAGCTGGCACCTGTAATTTCAGCTACCTGGGAGGCTGAGGCAGGAGAATCGCTTGAGCCTAGAAAGCAGAGGTTGCAGTTAACCAAGATCGCACCACTGCACTGCAGCCTGGGAGACAGAGTGAGATTCTGTCTCAAAAAACAAAAAAGATATTCACTGTCTATGCATCCCAGGATCTCCAGAACAACAATTAAAATAAATAAATAAAAAAGATGGCTGGGGGCAGTGGCTCATGTCTGTAATCCCAGCACTTTGAGAGGCTGAGGTGGGTGGATCACCTGAGGTCAGGAGTTCGAGACCAGCCTGACTAACATGGTAAAACCTCATCTCTACTGAATATAAAAAATTAGCCGGGCATGATGGTGCATGCCTGTAGTTCCAGGTACCTGGGAGGCTGAGGCAGGAGAATCATTTGAACCTGGGATGTGGAGGTTGCAATGATCCAAGATTGTGTCATTGCACTGCAGCCTGGTCAACAAGAGCAAAACTCTGTCTCAAAAAAAAAATAAGTAAATAAAATTAAAAATAAAGATAGTCACTGAACCTGTTACTATGATATATTTAAGCAAGACACGGTGACCCTAAAAATTAGAGATCATTGAAGACCAAAGTAACAACATGTGGTCATTATTTCTCAAATTGAAGTATATAAAATATATAAAATAAATAAATTTAATTGCATGCTTAGGTAAGAAAATATTGATAAAAATGATTGAATATTTTATCTTATTTCATAATTCTAAGCAGGGCTTTAGCACAATATGAAAACTAGATTATTCATGTAATCCAAATAAAAGACAATTTTTATTCTAATTTTAACTCAGAAATTATTTTGCTTATTTAACAATTTTACTGAAAGGTAAATGAGATAAATAGGACAGATTATAATTACCTAACATTGCTATGGTAACTTATGTACAAATAGCTGTTCGTCATCGAAAGTCAAAAAAGTAACCAGCGCTGCAACTTAAGATGGATCATACAACAGAAATTAGTACCAAGTTACCTTATCTTATAATATTATGTTATTAAAATGAAATTTTAAAACAACACCAAAAATTAAGGTGGGGCTATACAAAGTGTGCAGAAAAGATTTCATGTAACAGGCAAGAGACTGCCATCCTTAGAAAGGCCTGCATGCAAGGCTGGCCCTTGGGTGGTGTTTAGGAAATTGGAATTGGGAGGGTTTCCACCATTCCCTGAGAAGAGTGGCTCACTGTGTCTAAAGTTTTTATAGAAACCGCCAATGGGTGAAATCCAAAGCAGCAGCTGGTGTATCCATTAACATTCTCAAAACAGGATGCATCTGGACCCCTGTGTGCAATCTTCATAGCACACAGACACTAAACAGAAAGGCAGTCATTGCTGCCAAACAGGACCCAAATGCCACACACAGTGCAATGAAGCTATAAGCTCCCTATGGAGAGAAAAGTAGACAAATCAAAAATATTCAATATCCAATCCAAGTCCACATTAAATCTTGATTCCAGAAACGTGCATTAACCACTTCAAAGACTAAAATTTAAACCATCTTTTCTATAGCGATTTCCCATTTGGTTGGCAGGCATACAGGAGTAGAGAATGATTTAATTTACTTACAAGTATTCAGAAAAGATAGTGACCTCTACATTCAACCAGCTACAGCAGCTTAGCACACAGCCAAAGCCTGCATCTCTCCCACCTTAAGATTTAGTGGTTGGCTAGAGTTAGCAGCATCCAGGCCACATCTATCTCTGCATTCTAAGTTTGCTTCCAAGATAAAGATACAAATGCAGGCTGGCTCCAACCTAGCCAGAGATCCCAGCCCCACTCTCTGCATCCCAAAATCCCTCAAAGACTCAAGAGACTTTCCAGATTTCTACAGTCTCCTCACAGGTTCCCTTGACAGTTAAATGCCCTCTCTTTACCTCAACTAGCTGCAGGTAGAATATAATGGGTACAACAGAAAATCACTGTAAGTGTAATATGAAGATACACAGCCCTTTTAAGCATTTCATTATATTACATCTAGCTTACTTCTAAGTGATTTATTCAGATGTGACTGAAGAAAGTCTAAAGGGAAAAAAAGCAATTTAATTTGATAAATTAAATTCTCAATTATAACCAAATTATTTGGCTATAACAAATTAAACATTTTAAGCAGACAGAAGATGCAAACATTTTAAGTTGACAGAAGATATAAAATGTTCACTATCAAAATGTCGCAACTGATAAAAATGTTCTCAAATATTTCTGTCTCAAACTTGCATTGTTCATTAAGGAAGCAAAATAGGTGGGACATACACAGCAACAACATCCCTCAAAAAACACCTTGGCTCCTTCCTATAAGCCAGGCAGCAAATACATCATCCTTACATATGTTAATTACCTTCCAATTTCAAATTCTCAACTGTGAAATAAAGGGCCATTTTATTTGGCTGCTTCCAGTTCAATATGACTGTTTTTATTAAAACATCTCTAACTTGAAAAATATTTGGTGTTTTCTAAAAAACTGCAAATTGCCACAAATGGCCAGATAATTTGGAATAAACACCCTACAGAAAAAAATATATATTCAAGTTGCATAAGTCACTTTGAGCAATCCTTTGAGGATATTTCATTTATATCTAAATGAACCACAGGTTTAGCTGGCTTTTCTGGAAAACCAGAAGCAAATAATGTATGATTATAATGAAAACCATCTCAAGCAATTTTGAAATTAAGTACCACATGTCTTATGCTGTCCCTTCCATGCACTTGACAAAACAGCCTATAACAAATTGTTTACTTTGAGATTTAGCAGGAAAATTCCATGAGGTTTAAATGAGATGACTACTAATAAGCCATCTACCTTTGACTCTATTCCAATTAAAAATGGGTTAGGAAGGTGCTTTGAAAATCAAGTGTGTTCTTCAGGGAATCATTTACCTAAGTCTTCTTAACACTGCTTAGTGAATTTTAAGCCTGATATAGTAAATACACGCTAACCACTAAATTGAAGGGGAAAGAGGGAGAACAAAGAGACACGTAAAGTACACTTACTTTTTCTAGTAGGAAAAAGCCAATTAAAACTATCACCTATTAGTTTTATTGGAATCAGTCTTACAGGAGGTCAAACTTCCTACTGTTGCTACCTATTCTCAATATTTTTCTTATTTCTTCCTAAACTTCTAGAGCCGTGCTGTCCAATAAATATGTGAGCCACATATGTAATTTTAAATGTACTAGTAAGCCCCATTAAAAGGTGAAATTAATTTTAAATATACTTAACTCAGTATGTCCCAAATAGTAATCATAGTAATAATTTTAACATGTAATCAATATAAAAAATTATCAAGCAGATATTCTACGCTGTTCTTCCCACTCCAATGACAAAATCCAGTATATTTAACACAACACATCTCAATTAGGACTAGCCAGGATTTCAAGTGCTCAACAGTTACAGGTGGCTAGCGCCTACTGAATTGGACACTACAGTTTCAGTGCATTGAATTTCTATCCCACTTAGCGCTGATTAAAACTTCACCCTCTCACCTGATAATTATACTAAGATCTCAGAAAGTAACCCACTACAGGCAGTTTCAAGCCCTAATTTACCTCTAATTACTCTTACAGCAATGCAATGAATCATGATTTAAAATTTAAAAAAAAAATTGCTGTTAAATTATTAGTCAAGCGCCCAGGGCAATGGACAGTAAAGAAATAATGTAGGCCATGGGCCGAGATGACAAAACGGTCCTTTTATTTAAAGCTATAACAATAATCTGAAGCCAGCCCTGTAAAATAGACATCCATTGAAAAAGGCATGCTAGTTCTTTTGCTTTTTTGTGTACTTGGCCTCCTGTGTCCCTAAACAGACCTCTTCTCAGCAGGGTTTGCTCAGCAAGTCACTTGTTGAGTCTTGCGGTCAACAGAGGGGGTAGGGAATGGCAGGGGCTGGCATAGGAGTGAGGGGGAGGAGGCAAGGTGAGGGGGGCCAGGTGAGGAGGGGGGCACTTGAAGGGGAGTTCAAGACCAGCCTGGGCAACATGGTGAGACCACCGCCCCTCACCGCCGCAATCTCTGGTCTCACTCTGGTCTCACACACATGCACAAATTAAATTTAATTTAAAAATTAAAAAATTGTTTTAAAATAAGTGAAATATTTACATGGATTATGTATACATTCATTTTGTAGAACTATAGATCCCATGTAACTGGGAACTCTTTACTCTTCTAACACAACATTTATTTAGCCACAAATAAAAGACCAGTGATGTAGCTTGTACACAAAAAAGTAAGAAAACACTGGTTAGGCTGCGGCAGGGGTAAGGGGAAGAGATCTACAAAATTAAAATTTTATTGGGAAGGATCACTAATTAGAATCAGAACAATTACTGCTTTAAAGTAGTTAAGAACAGAGCACAAGGAACCCAGAGAAGAAGCAGATATGATTCAGAGCAGAGCTTACAGAGCAGATGCTATCTGAGCCGAGACTGATAGAATAACATTAATAAGGGCATTCACGGCCATTTATTATCACTTAACTACAATGCATTTGGTATAAGTTATTTCTACTCTTCATATCAACCATGGAAAATAATACTTATTCTCCTCTTTTGAAGTTAAAGAAGTGATAAGTGGTCTAAGAAGATAAATTAACATACCAACACCATATAGCTCAAGTTCAGTGACTCAAGAGGGCCTGCGTCTCCCCAAGAGGTTGCTCAGCAGGCAGATGAGGTAGAGAGCCCTTCCAAGAAGTGACAGTGAGATGTGAAAGGTCTCAGTGTGTCTCTGAGAACAACAGAAACCAGTATGTAGGCCAAGTGGGAAAAGCCACGGAAGAGGCAGGGATTTCCTCTTAAGATAGCAAGAATAAACAGAGCAGGACTGAGGGAAGCCATGGAAAACGGGCAGAATACCATGCATTTAGTGAGAAAAAAACAACTTTTACTTTAGAAAGGGGGAAAGAATGGTGGTGGTCTAGGTAAGCCTAGAAGCAGAGGAAAGGGCAATGGAGAAAAAATAAACAAAATGTATGAGTCAGGGTTCTCCAGAGGGACAGAACCAACAAGATACACGTATATGTATAAGGGAGTTTACGAGAGAGAATTGGTTCACACGGTTAGAAGGCAGTCCCACAATAGGCTGTCTGCCAGGTAGGGAAAGAGAGAAGCTAGTAGTGGCTCAGTCCAAGTCCAAAAGCCTCAAAACCAGGAAAGCCCGCAGTGCAGTCTTCAGTATGAGGCCGAGGGCCTGAGAGCCTCGGGGAAGCCGCTGGTGAAAGTCCCAGAGTCCAAAGGCGTAAGAACCTGGAGTCTCATGTCCGAGGGCAGGAAGAAGGGAAGCAAGTGTCCTGCACGGGAAGAAGAAAAAAAGAGAGCCAGAAGCTTCAGCTAGCAAGGTTATCCCATCTTCCTCCGCCTGCTTTATTCTATACAGTGCAGCGTGTGTACACTACTTCTGTGATATTGTTCCTAATATCCATGGGAAGAAAGAGTGATGTTTCTCCCAATAGCGTATGGGGGTGTACATCCCCTGTGATATTATTCCTAGTATGCAGGGGCAGGGGAAGGATGACATTACTCCCAATATCGCAGAGGGTGTACTCCCTGCCTTGGGTTATTGTTCCTAATATTTAGGGGATAGTGGGTGATATTACTCTCAATATCACAGGGGGTGTGCACCCCCGGTGGTATTCTTCCTAATATCCGGGGTGGGGGGAGAGGTTGATATTACTGTCAATGTCACAGGGGGTGTACATCCTCCCGTGTTATTGTTCCTAATATCTGGGGGGGGAGAGGATATTACTGTCACTATCACAGGGGGTGTAGACCCCTTCAGTGATATTGTTACTAATATCTGGGGGGGAGAGGATGATATTACTGTCAATATTGCAGGGGGTGTACACCCCCTATGGTATTGTTCCTAATATCCGGGGGGGGGAGAGGAAATTACTGTCAATATCACAGTGGGTGTACACCTCTTCTGTGATATTGTTCCTAATATCCAGGGGGGAGAGGATATTACTGTCAATATCGCAGGGAGTGTACAACCCTTCTGTGATATTGCTCCTAATATCCGGGGGTGGGAGAGGATATTACTGTCAACATCGCAGGGGGTGTACACCCCTTCTGTGATATTGTTCCTAATATCCAGGTGGGGAGAGGATCATATCACTTTCAATATCGCCAAGTGTGTACATCCCCATTGTGATATTGTTCCTATATTTAGGGGATAGTGGATTACATTACTGTCAATATCGCAGGGGGTGTGCACCCCCCCATGGTATTGTTCCTAATGTCCAGCAAGGGAGAAAACACTACTACTTCCAATATGGCAGGGGGTGTACACGTCCTATGCGATACTGTTCCTATATCCACGGGGGAAAAGGATATTGGGAACAATATTACAAACAATATCACAGGGGGGTGTACATGTCCTGAGATATGAGGAGTAATATCACCCTCTCCCCCTCTAGATATTACAAACTGTATCACAGAGGGGTGTAAACCCCCTGCGATGTGGAAAGTAATATCATCCTCTCCCCCACTGGATATTACAAATAATATCACAGACGGTGTACATGTGAGGTGTTTATGATATTGGGAGTAATATCATATCCCCCAGTGGATATTATGAACAATATCACAGAGGGGTGTATACACACTCTGCCTTATAGGGAGTAATATACTCCTCTCCCACCCTGGATATTACAAAAAATATCACAGAGGGTGTACACACAGGGTGTTTATGGTATTGGAAGTAGTATTATCTCCCCCGTGGATATTACTAATAATATCACAGGGGTGTGTACATCCCCTGTGATACAGGGAGTAATATCATCCTTTCCCAGCCTGGATATTACAAACAATATGGCAGGGGGCAGTACACCCTGGCGATATGTGTAGTAACATCATCTCCTCCCCACGTGGATATTATGAACAATATTCTAGGGGGTTGTACACCCCCTGCAATATGGGGAGTAGCATCATCCTCTCCCCCACTAGATATTATAAACAATATCACAAGGGGGTGTACACTTCCTGCGATAAAAGGAGAAATATAGTTCTTTCCCCCCAGAGATATTATGAACAATATCACAGGGAATTGTTCTCCCATGCTATATGGGGAGTAACATCTTCATCTTCCCCCTGGATATTACGAAAAATAATGCAGGGGAATGTAAATCCCCTGCGATATGGGGAGTAAAATCATTCTCTCTGGCCAGGAGCGGTGGCTCACACCTGTAATCCCAGCACTTTGGGAAGCCAAGGCGGGCAGATCACGAGGTCAGGAGATCGAGACCATCCTGGCTAACATGGTGAAACCCCGTCTCTACTAAAAATACAAAAAATTAGCCGGGCGCGGTGGCGGGCGCCTGTAGTCCCAGCTACTAGGGAGGCTGAGGCAGGAGAATGGTGTGAACCTGGGAGGCGTTGCTTGCAGTGTGCCAAGATCAGGCCACTGCACTCCAACCCGGGCGACAGAGCAAGGCTCTGTCTCAAAAAAAAAAAAAAAAATCAAATCATTCTCTCCCTCCCTGGATATTATGGACAATATCACAGGGGGGTGTAGAATGAATTTCTAGAATATATTTGAGGAGGGTGACGGGCGGTGTGTGCATGCTTCATGGCCTTATTCAATTAAACACTCTGCTCTCAATTTATTGCTAAATCCTCCTTGAGCCCTTAGATTTCATAACGGTTGTCGCGACATTTTTCTGGATGTAGAAAACGTTCCCATTTCTTGCCACCTCATGGGCTACACCTTGACCTAAAGTTTTTATGTAGATACTTGTGCTTACTCTGCGGCCTTTCCAGCGTTTGCTGAAGATGGAGGTATTTAGGCTGGGTAAGAGGTGGTGAGGTAAATTGCGGTTTATCGATTATAGAACAGGCTCCTTTAGAGGGCTATAAAGCACCGCCAAGTCCTTTGAGTTTTAAGCTGTTGCTTGTAGTGTTCTGGCCAACAGTTTTGTTGATCTAACTATTCGAGTTTAGAGTTAAGCATAGCGGGGTATCTACTCCCAGTTTGGATCTTAGCTATTTTGTCTTCAGAATATTAAAGGCACCTTCGTAGTTATTTCAGCTGGGGTGTTTTTACAACTTTTTTACAACTTATTTAGAAACTTTCAGGTTTCTAAATATATGAATGAACCATAATATAAGCCTCAGCCAATACAATGCTGGTTAGGCCTCCTACTGTAAAAAGGAAAATAAATCCCCGGGCTCACAGCATTGCGGGGGATCATTTGATATTACCGCCGTGAAGTGTAGCTAGCTAGTCAGCTAAAAACTTTGACGCTAGTAGGAATAGCAATAATTATAATAGCAGAGGTGAAGCAGGCTCATGTATCCACATCTATCCCTACCGTAAATATACGGTGGGCCCATACAATAAACTGTAAGGATCCAACTGATCCTATAGCTCACACTAGGCCCATATACCTGAATGGTTCTTTTTTTTCCAGAATAGTATGTTACGACGTGGGAAATTATCCCAAAGCCCAGTGGGATGAGGATGTAGACTTCAGGGTGACCAAAGAATCTGAATAAATGCTGAAATAAGACAGGATCACCTCCTCCAGCCAGGTAGAAAAAAATAGTATTAAGATTGCAGTCAGTTAACAATATAGTGATGCTGGCGGCTAGGACTCGGAGACAAAGGAGTAGAAGAACTGCTGTAATTAGGACTAATCAGATGAAGAGGGGTGTGTGATATTGGGACATGGCTGGGGGTTTTATATTAACAATTGTGGTAATAAAGTTAATAGCCCCTGAAGTAGAAGAAACACCTGTCAAGTGGAGTGAAAAGATAGTGAAATCTACAGAGGCGCCTGCATGTGTTAGGTTTCCTGCTAAGGGAGGAGAGACTGTTCAGCCGGTTCCAGTGCCGGCTTCTACTATAGTGGATGCAAGTAATAATAGGAAGGAGGGTGGGAGGAGTCAGAAGCTCATATTATTTATGCAGAGAAATGCTATATCGGGGGCGCCAATTATCGGGGGACTAATCAGTTGCCAAGACCTCCAATTATAGTATTACTATAAAGAAAATTATGACAAATGCATACGCTATAACAATGACATAAATTTGATCATCTAGTAGAGTTCAGCTCGAATAAGGCTTAAAGCTGTACTGACTATCCCTGCTCATGTGCCAAATAATAAATATAATGTCCCGATATCTTTATGGTTGGTTGAGAATAGTCAACTGTCAGCCAACATAAATGAAGTGAGAAAAAAGGGTAAAATGACTGAGTAGGGCATTAGACTGTACATCTAAAAACAGAGGTCAACGCCTGTTTTTACCAGTCCCAAGGTGATTTTCATGTTGAATTGTAAATTCAAAGAAGCAGCTTCAATCCTGCTTCTCTCACCCTTTTTCCCCCAGCGGCTGGAGAAGTAGATTCAAACCAGTTGACTAGGGAGTTTAGCTGTTAAGTTTTCATGGGTTTAAGTCTCATCAATTTAGTAAGGACTTAGCTTACTTAAAGTGATTGATCTGTATTCAATTGACCAAGGGTGTTCCATATCTGAGAAAGTACATTTCAGGGTCACCATACAACAACTGTTCAAAAAGGCCTCCAATATGGGACAGTCCTATTTATTATCTCAGAAATATTCCTCTTCGCTGGATTCTTTTGAGCATTCTACCATTCTAGCCTAGCCCCTACTCCAGAATTAAGAGGGCATTGACCCCCAACAGGTATTTCTCCCCTTGACACCCTGGAAGTACCTCTCCTGAATCCATCTGTATTACTTGCATCAGGAGTTTCAATTACTTGAGCCCATCACAGCCTAACAAAAAATAATCAAAAACATACAATCCAAGCACTACCTGTTACAATTATATTAGATATTTACTTCACCCTCCTACAAGTCTCAGAATACTTCAAAGCTCCCTTTGCTATTTCTGATGGTATTTATGGCTCAACATTTTTTATAGCTACAGGCTTTCACAGAATTCACGTCATTATTGGGTCAACATTCCTCAGTCTGCCTTCTCCGCCAATTAAAATACCACTTTACATCTAGTCATCACTTTGCCTTTGAATCCGCTGCCTGATATCGACACTTTGTAGATGTAGTATGACTATTCTTGTATGTTTCTACTTATTGATGAGGATCTTACTCTTTTAGTATAAATAGTACCATGATTTCCAAAGTTTTGATAGCATCCGAAAAACAGTAATTCACCTAACATTAACCCTAGTAATCAACACCCTATTTGCCCTGTTACTAATAATTATTACATTTTGGCTCCCACAACTTAATATATATATGTAGAGAGAGAGAAAAAAATATATATATATGTATAAAATAAATATATATAGAAAAATCTAGCCCTTATGAATGCAGATTTGACCCTCTATCCTCTGCCCACATTCCCTTCTCCATAAAATTCTTTCTAGTAGCCATCACATTTCCCCTATTTGAGTTAGAACTCGCCCTACTACTACCCTTACTGTGAGCCCTTCAAACAATCTGATACTAATAATCCCTGCGATATGTGTAGTGACTTCATACTTCACCCCCCCGGATATTACGGCCAATATCAGAGTGGAGTGTGCACCCCCTGCAATATGGGGAGTGATATCATCCTCCCCCCACTGGATGTTATGGACAATATCGCAGGAGGTTTACTTTCTCTGGGTTATGGGGAAAAATATCCTCCTGTTCCCGCCTGGATGTTAGACATATTTAGAGGGGGTTGTCCACCCCCTGTGATATGGGGAGTAGTAATATCCTCTCCTGTCCTGGATGTTATGGACAATATATAGGGAGATGTACAATCCCTTCGATATGGGGAGTAATATCATCCTCTTTCCCCTAAACGTTATGAACAGTATCACAGGGGGGTGTACACCCCCTGCAATATCTGGAGTAGTATCATCCCCTTCTTCCCTAAATGTTACAGAGACTATCACAGGGGTGTGTACACCTTCTGAAACATGGGAATAATATTCTCTTCCCCTCTGGATGTTATTATGGACAACATTACAGCCGTGTGCACCCTCTATGATATGCAGAGTAATATCATCCTCTCCCCCCCAGATGTAAGTGACAATACCACAAACGGGTTTACATCCCCCGTGATATGGGGAGTAATATCATCCTCTTTCCCACTGGATATTAACAATATCACTTGGGGATGTACAACCCCTGTGATATTCGGAATAATATCTTCTAATCCACTGAAAATTATAAACAATATCACCAGTGTACACTCCCTGTGATATTGGAAGGAATATCATCCTCTAATCCCCTAAAAATTATGAACAGTATCACAGGGGAGTGTATACTTCCTACTATATTGGGAGTAATATCATCCTGTCGTCTTCTAAATATTATGAACAATATTACAGGGGATGTAACACTCCCTGCGATATGTGGAGTAATATCATCCTCTCCTTCCCTAAATATTGTGAACAATATCACAGGAGGTTGTACACAATCTGCGATATTGTTTGTAGTATCCAGTGGGAAAGAGGATGCTATTACTCCCCATATCACAGGGGGTGTACACCCCCACTGTGATATATTCAATAACATCCAGAAGTAATATTACTGACAAAATTGCAGGGGGTGTAAACCCCACCTGTGATACCGTTCCTAATATCCCGGGGAAGACAGGATGATATTATTCCCAATATTGCAGGGGGTGTACACCCACCCTATGATATTGTTATTAATACCCAGGAGGGGAGACAATGGTATTACTCACAGTATCAAAGAGGTTGTACAGCCCCCCTGTGATAGTTTTTAATATCCAGGGGGTGTATACCACCCTTGTGATATTGTTTCTAATATGTAGGGGGAAGGACAATGATATTACTGTCCGTATCACAGGGGGTGTACAACAAGCCCCCCGGGATATCATTCCTAATATCCATGGGAAGAAAGAATATTATAATATCACAGAAGTTGTACACCCCCTCTGTGATATTGTTCCTAATATCAAAGACAGAAGGGTATGATGTTCTTCCCAAAATCACAGGAAGTGTATACACACCCTGTGCTATTTTTCCTAATATCGAGAGTGAGAGACAATGATACTTCCAATATCGTAAGGAGTGTACACTCTCCCCGTGATACCAGGTGGGGAAATGTTGATATTACTCCAAATGTCACAGTGGGTGTACACACGTTTTGCGATATTGTTCCTAATATCAAGTGGGGAGGAGGATTGTATTACTCCCACCATATTACTCCCCACACCCCATTATACTGTCCTTAATATCCAGATTTGGAGAGGATGATATTACTCCCAAAATCTCAGGAGGTGTAGACCCCTTCTGTGATACTGTTTCTTATATCCAGGGGAAGAGTAGATGATAGTACTCCCAACAGTGCAGGGTGTTACACGCCACCCCCCATGATATTGTCTCTAATATCAAGTTGGGGAGAGGGTGATATTGCTCCAAATAGTGTAAAGGGTGTACACCAGCACTGTGATATTATTCCTAGTATCCACAGAAGGAGAGAATGGTATTATTTTTAATATCACAGAGGGTGCACACCCCCCTTGTGATACTGCTCCTAACATCCAAGGGGTAGAGGATGAAATTACTCCCAATATCACAGTGGGTATACACCTCCCCGTGGTATTGTTCCTAATATCCAGGGGGTATAGGATGATAGTACTATAAATATTGCAAGGGTTGTACACCCCTTCTGCTATTGTTACTAATATCCGTTGGGGGAGTCGATGATATTACTTCCAATATCACAGGGCATGTACACCCCCCTTGTGATATTGTTCCTAATATCCTGGGAGGAGACTACGATATTACTGGCAATATCGCAGGGTGTGTGCATTCCCGTGATATTGTTCCTAATGTCTAGCAAGGGAGAAAATATTACTCCCAATATGGCGGGGGTGTACACTTCCCATGCGATATCGTTCCTAATATCCATGGGGGAAAAGGATGATATTACTCTAAATGGCGCAGGAGGTGTAAGCTGCCCCTGTGATATTGTTCTCAATATCCATGGGGGGAGAGAATGATATTACTCCCAATATCACAAGTGGTGTACAACCCTCCTGTTATATTATTCCTAATATCCAGGTTGGGAGAGAATAATATTACAGGTAAAATAGCAGGGGGTGTACACTCTGCCTGTGATATTGTTCCTAATATTCCGGGGAAGAGTGGACAATATTACTCTCAATATCGCAGGATGTGTACACCCCCTTTGTGATATTGTTCCTAATATCCATAGGGGGAGAGGGTGATACCACTCCCAATAGTGCAGAAAGGTACAGCCCCGCTGTGATATCCTTCCTAATATCCAGAGGGGACAGGATGATATTACTCCCAATATCACAGAGGGCATACACCCCCTCCCCATGATATTGTTCATAATACCCAGGGGGTAGAGGATGATATTACTCCCAATATCGCAGTGGGTGTACACCCACCCTGTGATATTGTTCCTAATATCCATGTGGAAAGGGTATAAAGTTACTCCCAATATCACAGGGGTTGTACAACCCCCTTGTGATATTGTTCCTTATATTCGGGGGAGAGACAATGATATAGCCGTCCATATTGCAGGTGGTGTACAATCCCCTGGGAATTTGTTCCTAATATTCAGTGGGGAAGATGATATTAATTAAAATGTCACGGGGGGTATACAACCCCTTTGTGATATTATTCCTAATATCCAGGGAAAGAAAGAATATTATTCCCAATATAGCAGGGGATGTACACCCCTCTCTGATACTCTTTCTAATATCCCTTTGGGGAGTCTATAATATTACTGGCAATATCATAAGGAGTGTATACCCCCAGTTATATTTTTCCTTATGTCCAGCAAGGGAGAAAATATTAATCCCAATATGGAACAGGGTGTACACACCCATGAGGTATTGTTCCTAATATCCAGGGAGGGAAAGGATGATATTACTCCCAATGTTGCAGTGGTGTATAACCCCCCGTGATATTGTTCCTAATATCTAGGTGGGGAAAGTACAGTATTACTCCCAATATAGCAGGGGTTGTACACCACCTTTGTGATATTGTTCTACATATCCATGGGGAAAGAAAATGATAGTACTCCACAATATCACAGGTGGTGTACAACCCCTTGTGATACTGTTTCTAATATCCATGTTGGGGGAGGATATTACTCCCAATATTGCACGTGTTGCACAGACCCCCTTTGATATTGCTTGTACTATGCAGGGTGTGGGGGGAGAGGATGATATTGGGAGTAATATCACCCTCTCTCCCCGGATATTAAAAGCAATATTCAGGGTGGTCGACACTTCCTGCAATATTGAGTATAATATCCTCTCCCAACCTGCATATTAGGAACAATATCACAGGGGCATGTACACTCCCTTCCTTTCACCATATACAAAAATGAACTCAAGATGGATGAAGGACTTATGTAAGACCCAAAACTATATAAACCCTAGAAGAAAACTTAGGAAATATCATTCTGGACATAGACGCAGGCAAATATTTCATGATGAAGGTTCCAAAAGCAATTGCAACAAGAAGAATTGACGAGTGGGACCTAATGAAACTAAAGAGCTTCAGCACAGCAAAAGAAACTATCAACAGAGAACACCCTACAGAACAGAAGAAAATATTTTCAAATTACATATCTGAAAAAGGTCTAATACTTAGCATGTATAAAGAATCAATAAGCAAAAAACAAACCCACTACAAATAGGCAAAGAACATGAGCCCCCACATTCACCATCCTCAAGTCCATGTGCAACTTCTTTCTGGATGCTGGACAAGGACTTGTGTACCAAGAGGGCACTGAACGGGTTAACACTTAAGCTGTCTGTGGATTCTTTTTTCAAAAGACAAAGTATGTATGGCAAACAACCATATGAAAAAATACTCAACATCACTAATCATCAGAAAATCAGAACCATGAGATACCATATCACACCGGTCAGAATGGCTATTATTAAAAAATCAAAACATAACAGACGGTGCCGAGTTTGTGGAAAAAAGGGAATGCTTATACACTGCTGGTGGTGATATAGAAAGGAGACAGGGAAATACTGGGTAGAAGAGAGTGGTTCCCTGGCAAAGCCGTGCCCACAAGCCTGGAAACCCATGGCCCTAAATGGGAACAGGCATTCCTGCTTTTGCACCCAAAATTGTCTTTCAGCTCACCATGCACCCCCTGTCCTGTACCCATATATGACCCAGACCCCAGGCTCCAGAAGCAGACAAGCAGATGAGGAGATGAACAGAAGAGCAGAATTGCAGAATGATGTGGCAGAAAAAAGAGAAGGAGCATCTGAATGCCAAGAGGAGTTTGGCTGGCAGTGGTTGGAGAGATCAGCCTCTGGATGGCAAAGCTCCCGGGGAAGATCATCTTCCCATTCCATCCCCTTTCCAGCTCCCCATCCATCCCATTGAGTGCCACCTCCACCACTCAATAAAACCCCCACATTCACCATCCTCAAGTCTGTGTGCAACTTAATTCTTTCTGGATGCTGGACAAGGAACTGGGTACCAAGAGGGCACTGAACAGGTTAACACTTAAGCTGTCTGTGGATGGCAAAGCTAAAAGAGTGCACTGTAACACATGCCCACTTGTGCTGTGGGAGTCGCAGGAACCCACCCCTAGACAGTACCATGGCCACTTGCCCTGCCTATTGCACCTGCCTGTCTGCATGCTCCCCTGCCCAGTAAGGGGTTTGACAGCACACACGGTGGCCAGACAAGCCACACCCCTGTTGCACATTCTGCCAAGGGGAGTCAGGGAAGTCTCCAGTTTCATCAGGAATGTAAATTTGTTCAGCCATTGTGGAAGGCAGTTTGGAGATTTCTGAAATAACTTAAAACAGAACTACCATTCAACCCAGCAATCCCATTATTGGGTATATACCCAAAGGAATATAAATCATTCTGTCATAGACATATGCATGCATATTTTCATTATAACACTATTCACAATAGCAAAGACACGGAATCAACTTAGATGCCTGTTAACAGAAGACTGGATTAAAAAAATGCAGCGTACATACACCATGGAATACTACACACCTATAAAATAGGATGAAATAATGTCTTTTGCAGCAACATGAATGGAGCTGGATACCATTATTCTAAGTGAATTAATGCAGGAACAGAAAACCAAACAAACACTGCATGTTCTCACTTATAAGTGGGGGCTAAACATTGAGTCCACATGGACATAGAGAAGGGAACAATAGACACAAGGTCTACTGTGGGTAGAGGGTGGGGGGGAGAGTGAGGATCAAAAAACTCCCTATTAGATACTACGTTCACTACCTGGATGACTACTTAATCTGTACACCAAATCCCATTGACACACATTTTACCCATATAATAAACCTGCACATGTACCCGCTGAACCTAAAATAAATGTTGGAAGGAAATAAAGTTACAACCAACTCTTGTACTATTGTGAGGAAACAATCATATGTGTTGACAAAAAATCAGCTACTAATAGATTTATAATAGTATATATGTAGCAGAAAAATATCAGATATAATTTATATACCCAAAAGTATGACTTAAAAACAGCATGACAATCTTTAAGATGCAATATTGTGCAACTACTAGAAGCACATTTTCAGAGATTATTTATTAACATATGATAATGACTACATTGAGTGGTTTTTAGAAGCATGAATTGAAACCATGTATAAGCATGACTTTATTGAACTTATATATAACATTACACACACATTTACATAATTATAAAATAAGTATGCTCATGTTCATAATATGTATTTATTTATATTCATATGTAAGGCCAATAGGAAGTAATCTCTGTATCTGAGTTATTATTTCATAAATAATTTATGCTTGTTCTGTGAAAATAAAAACACTGCTATGGATCTTCCAAGTATCCTGAAAGGATACCATTTATAATTAAACAATAACAATTTTAGAAATAATTATTTTAAATAAGGCTATGATAAATCTGGTTTCATTGCACACTTTAACTTTGGAACATTTCATGAAGCGTCCCTTGATCACGACTCTCATATTCAGGAGTTTTTTGAGATCAAAATGGGACAATCAGTATGAATCTATTTTTTAGACATGCAAATTGATAACTTTAAATAGCAGTAGCGATATAATCAGAGTGCACAGTTGCTCTGGGACAAAACTTGGAAATGAGCATATTTTTAGATTCTTAATGTTTTACACACTTTAGCATTCCACAGCACCATTACATACTCATTTTTCTACTAGAATACCTTGGTAAAAATTCACAGTAGAGATCAGGCTTGTCCTTCATACATTAACTAATCAAGTAGGAAAGTGCAAATGAGAACACAGTGCCAAACATAGGCACCACATGGAAACAAGCATGGGACTGCCAGGAAGCCATTTTTGTAGCTTTGTAGCCCAATTATATTTTTCCTAATGTATTGCACACAAAACTTGGGGGAAAAAAAGAGGCAGAGAGAAAACAGGTTATATCAGCCCTATCTCACAATCCACAGGTTCATCCTATTAGAGGAGTAACTATGTAAAACAAATTTTATCTGTTGAATGTCCTATTTAGTTAATCGCAAAACTGTACGAGAACACACTTGTGACTTATTTAGCAGCTTGTTTGTTCGCTTTCCACTGGCTTCACAAATGTCCTTTGGAAATAGAATGTACATTTGGAACCTTGTACACCTTTTCTTTCTCCAGTACCCTCTTGTCACTTCCATCACTAAGGTGACAGAAGCAACTAGGGGCAATGCATTTGTAGCACACCTGGGTCAGAGGTATCCTCCAGGGGAAGGATCAGACCTGCTTGAAAGCATGTCGTTGGAATTGGGAGGCTTCTAGTAGCTATAACATAAGCACTGATGTTTACTGTTCCCTGCCCTCCACTTAGATCACTCTGGGAAAAGTTTTTTTTTAAAAAATCAATTGTATTGAAACATAATTTACATAAAATAAATACTATTTTAAAGTGCACAGTTTGCTGAGTTTTGCCAGATGTAACCATCCAGGTGAATAAAATTGATTAAACTGATCTTTCAAATAATAAATTAACTTTGCAATCTTGCTAGAAATTTAATTTGTTCACAGTTTATTATCCATTCTATGTACTGCTACATTCAATTGGTTATTATGTTTTAAGGACTTTTGAGTCTATGTTTATGAGGGATAAACATCAAAGTTGTATAATGCCTTTGTCTTGATTTGGAATCGGCAATACTGGGTTCATAAAATAAGATAGGAAATGTCCCTTTAAATTTTCTTTTTTTTTTTTTTTTTTTTTTTTGAGACGGAGATTCACTCTTGTTGCCCAGGCTGGAGTGCAATGGCACAATTTCGGCTCTCCACAATCTCTGCCTCCCAGATTCAAGCTATTCTCCTGCCTCTGTCTCCCGAGGAGCTGGGATTACAGGTAAGCACCACCATGCCCTGCTAATTATGTACTTTTAGTAGAGACGGGGGTTTCTCCATGCTGGTCAGGTTGGTCTCAAACTCCTGACCCCAGGTGATCTGTCCGTCTTGGCCTCCCAAAGTGCTGGGATTACATGTGTGAGCCACTGTGCCCGGCCCTTAAATTCTATTTCTTAAAAAGAGTCCATTCAAGATTGATATTATAGATACTCCTCAACTTACAATTGTCTTATGTCTGAATGAACTCATCCTAAATTGAAAATATTGTAAGTCTAAAACGCATTTAATATATTTAACCTACTGAATATCATGACTTAGACTCGCCTACCCTAAACTTGCTCAGAACACTTACATTATCCTACAATTGGGCAAAATCATCTACCACAAGGCCCATTTTAAAATATTCAGTATCTCATGAAATTTATTGAAAACTATACTGATAGTGAAAAACTGGTCATATTGATGCTCATCATTAATGTACACAGATGAAAGCACCATTATCAAGTCAGAAGAGCACAAGTCAAACCACTGTAAGTTGAGGACTCTCTGTACTTTCTTAAATGTTTGATAGAATTCACCTAAGAAAGCATGTAGCCTGTAATTATAGAAATATTTTTAAATTAAAAAAAAATCTTCAATACTTAGAGAAGCTATTACTTTTTCTATTTCATTTTGCATCAGTTTTAAGAATTAGTTTTACAAATAATTTCCCATGTTATTTTAATTGTCAAATGTATTGGCCTAAAGTTTTCATAATTATATTGATGTCTGTAGGTTCTGTAGTTACATCCTCTATTTAATTCCCATTATCTACATTATGTAGCTTCTCTAATTTTTTTCGAGATAAATCTTGCTAGCCATTGTTTATTAAAAATTTTTTTTTCAAATAACCAATTTGTGGGTATATTAATTAGCTCCACCTTTTGTTATTTGCTATGTTGTTGGTTTACATTTTTATCTTTATCATCTTCCTTCTTCTTAATTTGGATATACTTTGCTCATTTTTTAGCCTCTTAAAAAAGAACCTAAAGGTCATTGATTGAAGCCTTTTATTTTCAATATATTACATCTATAAATGTACCTTTAAGAAACGATTTATCTGCATCCCACATTTTATTAAGTTCTTAAAAATTTTTCTTTCACTTTAAACTATTTTTTTTGTGTGTGAAACTTTTCTTGGCCAATGGGTTTTTCTGAAGTATTTTGTTTAATGTTCAAATGTTGGGGTGTTATTGTACATATCCTACTGTTGTCCATCTCTGGTTCATGATACAATGCATGTTCTCCATTGCACTTAGATAACATGCCTCCATGTCTCTGGAGAATTCCTCAGTCTTTCTAAAATGCTTTTGATGAATACTGGCAGTTATTTTGTAGAATGTCCCTCCTCAATTTCAGTTAGTCTGATGTTTTCTCACGGTTAGGACTAAAGTTATACATTTTGTCTAAGAATACCATAGAATTGATGTTTTGTCCTACTCAGTGCATCATATAAGAAGTTACATGAAGTTCATTTATCTTATTATTAGTAATGTTAACTTTGATCACTTGGGTAAGTTGACATCTCCACTTTGAAGTTATTATTCTATAATTATCTTGTGGGAAGATACTTTCATATTATGCAAATATGTTCTTTCCCAACATATATTCACCACTAATCTTAGCATCCCTCCAAGGTTCTTTCTTGCAACAATTATTACTATGATATTTGCAAAGTGATGATTCTTATATTTAATGTCTCCTACATTTAATGAAATCTTACTGTAATAAAATACTACCCATTCTCAATCTTTGGTTTATTATTTATGTCAATATGGATTTTTTTTTTTTGAGTTGGAGTCTGTTTTGTCATCCAGGCTGGTGTGCAATGGTGCGATTTCCACTCACTGCACTTCCACCTTCCGGGATTCAAGCCATTCTCCTGCCTCAGCCTCCAGAGTAGCTGGGACTACAGACATGTGCCACCATGCCCGGCTAATTTTTGTATTTTTAGTGAAGGCAGGGATTCACCACATTGGTCAGGCTGGTCTCGAACTCCTGACCTCAAGTGACCTGCCCGCCTCTGCCTCCCAAAGTGCTGGGAATACAGGCATGAGCCACCGCACCCGGCCTGGATTAATTGAAAATTTTCTTCTGTAGATTGTAATATATTACTATTGTTATCTATTTTATTGCCCCAATTTTCTCAAATTGGGCTATGGAAGTTTATTCAAAGTGGATCTGTTTCCCTTTCACATCTTCTCCATTTTGTGAGCATTTCCTTACTTCCTAACATGACAAAATATTTCAAACTAATCTTGTATTTTCCCTGCCCAATCCTGATATCAAATATGTCCCCAAGGAGCCTTGGTTCCTTTAATTGGAGAATGGTGTTCTCATTGTTACTGGGATGATGTTGTTTCTAGGCCCTTTTGTTAGAGGAGCTAGAAAATATATGTATGTATACTCACACATTTATACACATCTGTACTTATTTATACAATTATCCATCTGTACGTATACTAAAAACAATGATTTCATGAAGCTTTTGATCCCAATCCAACACTAGATAAAGACTATATAGGCCCATTTATTTGCAAATCAGCACATAAACATAGAAGAATTATTAACAATATAAGCTGTAGCTTATGCTAAATGTTGGTTGGAACAGACAATAAGTTATGGAGAACTTCAGAGGACACTAAGGTTGGATGGGATTTTGGAAGTTGTGCAGGTCAATGCCACTCCATCTATTGGCTGAGATTCACTAGGTTAATACATGAACAACAACAAAAATAACCTAGATCGGAAGTTAAAGATCATTTTATTGACTATCTGCCGTGTCTGTGCCATTGCAGTGTACTAGGTGCACTTACGAGTCCTCTACTTACAAACTGCTTTTCACAAAATAAGAAACTCCAGGCAAAGGTTCAGACATACGATGTTTGTTTTTAAAATCTTTCTACAGCCTTGGATCCTTTTTCCTTTCCTTCCTTTTACCCTTTTTAAAATGTGTTATGAGTTTTATCTTAGACTAACATCATCTGTAATGTTGCTATACGCCAGTATTCAGTTGCTGTGTTTGATGAATCATAAAATGGTGTAAAACTTCAATTAGTGTACTTTTTAAATAAAGTATCTATGAATGCATCCAGCAAAATGTTTATGATTTGAGTATTCACAAAATATTACTTTTCTCTGGATCTAACAATAATGTGAAAACCCAAAATGAATATAAAATATTAGCTAATAATAGATTTCAAAGTATTCTACAAGTATGAAAAATATATGATATTGTTACTTTCATATATGTAAAACATTAATCATTTTTGTCAACATAAACATCATCTTTACATCTAAACTTGTATTAATTCAATTAAGAGTTAATATAGTATCCTAAAGTCATCAAATATTCAAAAATAGGATGTATTCTGACTTGGAATATACATAAAATTAACTATTTTCAGCTGAGCAGAGTGGCTCATGCCTGTAATTCCAGCACTTTGGGAGGCTGAGGTCGGCAGATTGCTTGAGATCAGGAGTTTCAGACCAGCCTGGCCAACATGGTGAAACCCTGTCTCTACCAAAAATACAAGTTAGCCAGGCATGGTGGAACCTGCCTGTAATCCCAACTACTCTGAAGGCTGAGGCAGGAGAATCACTTGAACCCAGGAGGCAGAGGATGCAGTGAGCCAAGATTGCGCCACTGCACTCCAGCCTGGGTGACAGAGTGAGGCTCCATATCAAAATAATAATAATAATAATAGTAATAATAATAATAATTATGTTCTGTGAGTCCAAAGATAAAATAGCATTACAGAATACCTAATAATCCTGAGTTTGGTTTTCTTGGTTTTATTTTTTCATTTAGTTTTGTTCACTTTGACCAGTGGGCTGGTGGTTCTTAGGTGCACCAAGGTTTTCATTTTTCAGTTCAAGATTTTAAAACCTTAATGTGGTAATTTCTCTAATTTTTTTGACAGTTACGTCCCAGGTTGCAAGTTAAAATAAAATTCCCATTTTACTAAAGTCCTTGGTTTATTAATGATTTTATAATGACTTAATATATAATTTAATGAGTAATGAAGGGTACTACATTTCAGAAATCAACACTGAAGAACTTATTCATGGAACCAAACACCACCTGTTTCTCAAACACCTATTAAAATAAAAATACATATAAATAATTTTTTAAAATAAACACTAAAAATAAAGTGAAAATGAAAAAATATATATCCAGGTTAAAAAAAAAACTACTTCAGTTAAACAATAAATACCTTTTGAGGGGACTCAACTCTACTACAAAATTATTCGTTGTTTATTATAATCAATAATACAGGTAAAAGAATAAGTTTTTAAAAATGGAAAAATTGTAAAAAATAAAACGATATTAACAAATATTGGTATACTGGTGAAGGCCGGGCTCAGTGGCTGCTTTCCAAAGTGGTTACACCAGTCGGGCATGGTGGCACACACCTGTAATCTCAGCACTTCCGGAAGCTGAAGCAGGCAGATCACTTGAGCTCAGGAGTTTGACACAAACCTGGGCTACATGACAACACCCCATTTCTACCAAAAACTGTAAAAATCAGCTGCACATGATAGCATGCACCTGTAAGCCCCAGCTACTTAGGAGGCTGAGGTGAGAGGATCACTTGTGCCTGGAAGGTCACAGCTGCACTGGCCATGTTCATGTCACTGCACTCCAGCCTGGGCAACAGAGCAAGATTTTGTCTCAAAAAAAAAAGTTGGTGACAATTGGAATAATTGGAACTCACATACATTACTGGTGGGAACATAAAATGGTGTAATCAATTTGGGTGTTTTCTTGGCATTTGATTTTTTTAAAAAATCAAGACATTGTTTCCCTATGTTGCCCAGGGTTGTCCTGAACTCCCAAGCTAAGAAAATCCTCCAAACTCAGTGTCTCAAATACCTGAGATTAAAGGTGTGAGCCACTGTGCCTGACCAGTGTAACCACTTTGAAAAACAACGTGACAGTTTCTCAAAGACTAAATGTATAGTAATCACATAATGTGACAATTTCACTCCTGAGTGTAAATCCAAGAGAAATAAAAATATATGTTCACACTAAAACTTATGTACGAGTGTTCATAGCAGCCTGACTCATGATGGTGAATACGCAAAAACAACACAAATGTCCATCAACTAATGAATGGATAAACATAAACTATTACTCAGCTACAAAAGGAAAGAAATCCTGGTACACACTATAACATGAAAGAAATTTGAAAATATTCTGCTAAGAGAAAAAAAGCAAATTACAAAAGATCACACATTGTACAATTCTATTTCTATAAAAGGTCCAGATTAGGCAAAACTACAATGACAGAAAATAAATCAGTGGTTGCCTATGAACATAGGGTATGTAGGAGGTAGTGGCTAAGAGGTGAGGGTTTCTCACTCATAAGTGGGTAACTTACAAGTGGGTAATCACTTCTAAGAAAGACTGTGGTGATGAATGCACAGCTCCTTGAATATTCTAAAAACCACTCAATTGTATACTTTCTTTTTTTCTTTAGTTATTTAAAGACAGGGTCTCCTTTTGTCACCCATGCTGTAGTGCAGTGGTGCCATCTGGTCTCACTGCAACCTATGGCTTCTGGGCTCAAGTGATCTTCCAGTCTCATGTCCCCAAGTAGTTGGGACTACAGGCATGAGCCACCACACCCAGCTAATTTTTGTATTTTTGCTAGAGATGCTGTTTTGCCATGTTGCCCAGGCTAGTCGCAAACTCCTGAACACAAGCGATCCACCTGCCTCAGCTGCCCAAAGTCTTAGCGTTATAGGAATTAGCCACTGCACCTGGCCTGAATTGCGTACTTTGATAAATGAATTGCATGATACGTTAATCATATTTCAATAACGCTATTATTTTAAAAATGGCTGGGCATGGCGTGGTGACTCACGCCTCTGATCTCAGCACACTGGGAGGCCAAGGTGGGTGGATTGCCTGATTTCAGGAGTTTGAGACCAGTCTGGCCAACATACTGAAACTCTGTCTCTACTAAAAATACAAAAATATTAGCTGAGAGTGGTGACATGGGTCTGTAATTCCAGCTAGTCGCGAGGCTGAGGCAGGGGAGTTGCTTGAACCAGGGAGGTGGAGGTTGCAGTCAGCTGAGATCACACCACTGCATTCCAGCCTGCATGACAGAGTGAGAGTCCGTCTCCAAAAGAAAGAAAGAAAAAGAAAATGGGCATTGAACACAGGTGGCTCCCACCTACATATAATCCAAACACTTTGGGAAGCTGAGGCAGAATGATCACTTGAGGCCAGGAGTCTGACAACATCCTGAGCAACACAGCAAGATCCCATCTGTACAATAAAAAATAAAGAAGTTAGCTGGGCATAGGGGCAAATGTATGTAGTCCCAGCTACTTGGGAGGCTGAGGTGGGAGGACTGTTTGAGTCCGGGGTTTCAGGCTGCAGTGAACCATGATCATGCCACCGCACTGCAGCCTGGGTGACAGAACAAAACCCTGTCTCTAGAAAGAAAAAAAAAAAGAAATCCAAGTTTTTATCACCTTCTGAGAGTAATCAACATTCAGGAGGAACAGAGAAGAACAAAATACCACTGAATGGTTGAGGGTGGGTTGCTGGTTAGGTTCAGTGGCCAGCTGAGTAGTATCTGAAAAATTCATTAGTAAATTATGGCACTAGGGGTGAGTCATGCAGTCGAAGGATGAATACTAAATCCAGTACAAACACCCATGGTCTTTCTTTACGTGAATTCCAGTGAAAAATTTCTAAGTGCCTAAAATAGCAAGTGGTCTGAAATGATGGCAGCAGTTTATTAAAGACTGAAAAAAGAGGCCAGGCACGGTGGCTCACACCTGTAATCCCAGCACTTTAGGAGACCAAGGCCAGTGGATCACAAGGTCAGGAGTTCAAGACCAGCCTGTCCAACATGCTGAAACCCCGTATCTACAGAAAATACAAAGCTTAGCCGGGCATAGTGACATGTGCCTGTAGTCCCAGCTACTTCAGAGGCTGAGGCAAAAGAAATGCTTGAACCCGGGAGGCAGAAGTTGCTGTGAATTGAGATTGTGCCACTGCACTCGAGCCTGGTGACAGAGGAAGATGCTGTCTCAAAAAAAAAAAAAAAAAAAGAATTGGCATCTTCAAGAACCACAAGAGAGTTCCACGCTGAAGAAGCTCTGACTCTGCATTTGCTGAACTACTGATTTGAGTTAGCCAATATAACACTATCTTAGATAAAGTGTACAAACAACTCAATTTCATCTCCTCATTAATAACTGATTGGTCTAGTATCAATTCTGATTTTTAAAAAACTAATTAGAAAAAGAATTAATTATAGAACCAATAAGAGGTTTGAATAGTTACAAGCTATTCAAAAGAGAATTCAAAAAACCACTCAGGTATGAGGCCATAAAGTATGATGAAATAAATTTCCTTAATATATTTTAAAATAAACTGATTAGACAGGCAACAACACCTGGGCACGGGTCTCCTCATCTCCAGCAACACAAACCCAATCACGCAGCTATGGGGTTGCAAAGGCTGCATAGTGACAAACAGACTGCTCTGAGCTGAGATTTCTTTACTTGTATCTGTATTCTGAGACCGGGTCTCACTCTGTCACTCTGGCTGCAATGCAGGGGTGCACTCATAGCTAACTGCAGCCGTGACCTCCTGGGCTCTGGGGATCCTCCTGCCTCACCCTCACCATAGCTACAGCTACAGATGAACACCAAAACACCCAGCTAATTTTTTTTTTTTTTTGTAGAAAGAGGAGCCTTGCTATGTTGCCCAAGCTGGCCTCAAACTCCCGCCCTCAAGAGATCTGCCCACCTCAACAACCTAAGTAACAGGTTCTACAGGAAAATACCACTATGCCGGGATAATTATATTTTATTAATTTTTATTTGCATAGACAGGAGGTCTTGCTGTGTTGCCCAGGGTGGTCTCAAACTCCTGGACTCAAACCATTCTCCCATCTCTGTCTCCCAAAGTGCTGAAGCTACAGGCATAAGCCACTGCACCTGGCCCGACTTAAGATTTCTGTAATCTAGCATCCCATACTTCATATAATTGGGAAAAGCAGTAGTGGTTTTTTTTTTAATTACTTAGTATTTCAACAAGAATCAACCATCTCTCACCATTGCCAGGGCCCTGGTCAGAACCACTATCATCTCCCACCTGGAGGTTGCCACAGCATGGCCTCCCTGCTTCTACCCAAATCTTCCCACAATCTTTCTCAACTCAGCTGCCATGGGATGCTTTTAAATCAGTAGACAGTTCGTGTCACCTCTCTGCTCAGAACCCTTCTGCTTCTCCCATCTCAGACAGAATAAAAACCAAAGCCCCAGCAATAGCCTCCCAGGGCTTACACAATCTGTACTGATCTGAGTCCAACAACTCCCTGGCCTCCTTCCCTACTTCTCTCCCTCTCTCTACTCCACAGACCTCTTTCCTGAGCTTCAGACACACCACGGAGTTCCCTCTTAGCATCTTTATTCTGTTGTTTCTGCCTACAATGCTCTTCCCTCAGTACCTTAGCCAGCTCCTTCCCCTCCTTCAAGTCTTTGCTCAATTTTCACTTAGGAGGCCAACCCTGACCACTCTATTTAATATTGCTATCTGTCCCTATTCCTGCCATGCTCACTCATTTCTTTTTTCTTTTTTTTTCTAAGATATAATCTCGCTGTGTCACTCAGACTGGGGTGCCATGGCACGATCACAACGCACTGAGACCTGGAGCACCTAGGTCAAGAAATTGTCCTGCCTCAGGGCCTCTAGTAGCTAAGACTACAAGTGCATGCCACCACACCCGCTAATTTTTTTTTTCCATGTCGACAGGGTATTATTTTGTTGCCCAGACTTACCGTGAACTCCTGGGCCAAAGCAACCATCCTGCCTCAGCCTCCTAAATAGCTGGAATTATAGGTGTGGGCCACCAATTCTGGCTTCATGTTCATTTCTTCTTGCCGCTGTTACAAACTACCCTACATTGAGTGGCTTAATACACCACAAATCTACTAACTAAGAGGTCTGGGGGCCAGAAGTCCAAAATAGGTCTATTAAGGCTAAAGTCAAGGTGCCAGCAGGACTGCATCCCTTCTGGAGGTTCTGGAGAGAATATGTTCCCTTGCCTTTCCCAGTTGCTAAAGCCACTCCTATTCTTTGGCTCATGGCCCCTAACTGCATCTTCAAAGCCAGAAGCAAAGCATATTCGAATCTCCCTCTGTGACCTGTGCTTCCATCATCAAATCTCCTTCAATTCGGACTCTCTTACCTCCCTCTTTCACTTATAAAGACCTCTTGTGATTGCTGGACACAGAGGCCGTGGCTCACAACCATAATCCCAACAGTTTAGGAGGTCAAAGCAGGAGAAACGTTTGAGGCCAAAACTTCAGGACCAGCCTGGGAAACACAGCGAGACCCCCTCAATTAAACAACAAAAAGAAATAAGAAAAAATTAGCTGGGCATGGTAGTATGCATCTGTAGTTTCAGCTACTTGAGAGGTTGTGGTGAATGGATCGCTTTAGCCCCAGAGTTCAAGACCAGCCTCGGCAATATAACAAGATCCCACCTCTCCAAAAATATACAAAAATTAGCTGGGCATGGATGGTGTGCACCTGTAGTCCCAGATGCTTGGAAGGCTGAGGTGGGAGAATTGCTTGAGCACAGGTGGTTGAGGCTGCAGTTAGCTACAACAACATCACTGCACTCCAGATTGGGTGAAACAGAGACTCTGTGTTCAAAAGAAAAAGAAAAGAAATACACATTTGGTTTCTGCCCGTCATCCTGGCACAGAGCTTCTCAAGCTCTTATAAAGGCCTTGGTGATGAAGGTGATGGGGCATCTTCTGTTTCAATATTTGGTCTTAGTCCCAGGTTTCTAACACAAGAGCCTCTAAGACCTTTGGGATCACCATAGTAAGAATGCATTTGGTGATGTTACTGAGATGACTGGGTGACTGAAAACTCCTAGACAGCTTCAGAAAAAGGGGTGGTTGTTGTCAGAAGAACAAACCATGTGATTAGAGGCTTGGAACTGTCAGCCTCACCCCCTGGGCTCCAGGAAGAAATAGTGGCCGAAGACTGACTTAATCACCAATGGTCAATGACTTCATCAATCTTGCCTGCATAATGAAGCGTTCATAAGCGCCCTCAACAACTGGAGTTGGAGAATGTCTGGGTTGCTGAACACAAGGGAGATACCAGGAAGGTAACATGCACAATAGAGGACATGGAAGTTCTGTACCCCTTTCGACATACCTTGCCCTGTGGGTTTTTTTTTTTTGAGACAGAGTCTGGCTCTGTCTCCCAGCCTAGAGTGCCATGGCACAATCGTGGCTCACTGTGAACTATGCCTCCCTATCTCAAGCCCCATCCTCTCATCCTCTCACCTCAGCCTCCTGAGTAGCTAGAATTATAGGCACTGAGTAGCTAGAACTATAGATAACTGTGCCTGGCTAATTTTTAGAAAAATCTTTTTGTAGAGATACATTTCCACCTTGTTACCCAGGCTGGTCTTAATCTCCTGAGCACTTAAGCGATGCTCCCGCCTCAGTCTCCCAAAGTGCTGAAATTACAGGCATGAGCCACTGTGCCCAGCATGTACATCTCTTTCACTGGCTGTTTCTGAGATTTAGCCTTTAAAATGAACCAGTAAAAGAAAGTAAATTGGTGAGATGCAGTGGTTCATGCCCATAATCCCAGCATTTTGTGAAGTTGAGGTGGGAGGATCACGTGAGCCCAGAAATTTGAGACCAGCCTGGGCAACATAACAAGACCCCATCTCTACAAAAAGTAAAAGAACATAGCCAGATATGCTGGTACAGGCCTATAATCTCAGCTATTTGGGAGGCTGAGGTGGGAGGATCACTTGAACCCAGGAGTCCCATGCTACAGTGAGCTTTGATCACACCACTGCATTCCAGCCTGGCAACAGACTGAGACCCTGTATCTCAGGAAAAAAAGAAAACAATCTGTTTTTCTGAGTTCTGCAAGCTGTCCGAGCAAATGATTCCACCCACCAATGGGGGTCATGAAACCCTGTTTTCTAACTGGTTGGTCAAAACTACATGTAACAACCCAAGACTTGCAATTGGCATGTGGAGTGAGGGTAGACTCCTGGGACTGAGCTCCCATCCTGCGGGGTCTGCACTAACTCCAGGGAGTGTCAGGATGGAATTGTGGGATACCCAGTTGGGATCCAGATTGTCTGAAAATCAGTGTAGAAACTCCACATGCACATTTGGTCAGAGGTGTTTGATCGTAACTACTATTCACGAAAAAGGTCTACTCATTAGAACTAAAAATCACAAAATTGTAAGTTCTACGAAAACAAATCAACCTTATCTACCGCCCAGTCCTACCGAACTACAGAATGTGAGAACAGAAGGTCTGACCATGGAGGCGAGAGCTGACAGGAATGTCACCACCATCCTGCTCTCCAAGGACTCCTCATCTTCAACAGACTCCTCATCTTCAATGGGCAGGGTGGAAACTGCAACTTGTGCCATGATCCTTGCACAGGAAAAGTAGTAAGAAAATGAGTGGTAGAAATCCAGTGTCCTAAACTCACATCCAGAGCTGTGAGAGTTTTTTACTGGCTGGATAATTCACAGTTTTCTTGAATCAGGGGAAAAATAAGACTCAGAAACTAGGAATTCGTTTTGCCCAAAACTCTCATCAGATACAGAATCCATCCGCTAACTATCTAGTATTATTTCCATAAGTTAGATCAATTATCACTCCCAAAACAAATGCACATGGCACCCAGAATCTGTGCATTTCTCCCAAGTAAAAGAGGAGGTGGACGGGCGCAGTGTCTCATGCCTTTAACCCCAGCACTTTGGGGGGCCAAGGTGGGTGGATCACCTGAAGTCAGGAGTTCAAGACCAGCCTGGCCAACATGGTGATACCCTTTCTCTACTAAAAATAAAAAAAAGTTAGCCAGGTGTGGTGGCATGTGCCTGTAGTCCCAGCTTCCTGGGAGGCTGAGGCAGGAGAATCACTTGAACCCAGGAGGCTGAGGTTGCAGTGAGCAGAGATCGCACCACTGCACCTCAGCCTGGACGACAGAGTGAGACTCTGTCTCAAAAAAAAAGGAGGGGAGGAAAGGAGGCAAGGCACTTTACAACCCAGTGATGGGCTACCACAACTCAGCACAGCAAAGAGTTGCCAAGCTCCCTTTCTCTCCTGCACAACCCGACACAGAAGAGTTGGTGCAGTGGAATGAGGCTGGATGGAGAGAAGTTCCTCTTCTTTCTTTCCTTTTTTTTTTTGAGATGAACTCTCGCTCTGTCACACAGGCTGGGGTGCAGTGGTGCAATCTCGGTCACTGTAACCTCTGCCTTATGGGTTTAATCAATTCTCTGCCTCAGCCTTCCGAATACCTGGGATTAGAGGCACCCCCCACCACACCCAGCTAATTTTTTTTTTTTTTTTAGTGGAGACTGGGTTTCACTATGTTGGCCAGGCTGGTCTTGAACTCCTGACCTTAGGTGATCTACCCACTTCGGCCTCCAAAAGTGCTAGGATTACAGGCATGAGCCGCTGTGCCCAGCCAAGAAGTTCCTCTTCTTACTTAGAAAACAGATCACAGGGCATCAAGTAACACGTAAAATCCTTTATAATAAGCAGTATTATTTTTGGAAAACCTTTCCTAATATTTTGGTATCAGCAAAAAGCCTCAGATTAATTTCAAACACTATAAAAATACAATACATAAACAGAAAATATTAACTGTCAGCAATGCTATAGAGAAATTGGAAGCTGTATGCATTGCTTTTTGGAATGTAAAATGGTACAGCCCACTGTGGAAAATGGTTTAGCAGCTCCTTAAAAATATGAAGCATAGAATTATATGATCCATCAACACCCTTTAAGCGTATATACCCAAAAGAACTGAGAGCAGGGACTCAAACAGGTATTTGTACACCCAATTAACAGCAGCATTATTCACAGTGGCCAAAAGGTAGCCCAAACCTAATGCCCATCAGTAGGTGAATAGATAAAGAAAATGTAATATATACATACACAGAGTATTATTCAGCCATAAAAAGAAAAATATCTGGCCAGATTCAGGGGCTTACACCTGTAATCCCAGTATTTTGGGAGGCCAAGGTGGGCAGGTCTCTTGAGCCCCATATTTTGAGACCAGACTGGACAACATGGCACATTTGGTTAGAAGTGTTTGACCATAACTACTATTCCAGAAAAAGATCTACTCATTAGAACTACAAATCATAAAATTATAAGTTCTACAAAAACAAATCAACCTTATCTACCACCCAGTTCTACCCAATTATATCATGTTAGAACAGAAGGTCTCACCGTGGACTCGAGAGCTGATATGAGAAATGTTACCACCATCCTGCTCTCCACGGAATCATCTTCAACAGACTCCTCATCTTCAATGGACTCCTCATCTTCCATGGACTCCTCATCTTCCATTGGCAGGGTGGAAACTGCAACTTGTGCCATGATCCCTGTGCAAAAAAGTAGTAAGAAATTGAATGGTAGAAATGCAGTGTCCTAAACTCAGATCCAGAGCTGTGAGAGTTTCTCACCGGCTGCCAAATTGTTTTTTGGGTCAGAGAAAAAAATAAAACTTGGTAACCTGGTACTCGACTTGCCCCAAACTCTCATCAGATAGAGAATCTATCCGCTAACTTTCTATCTAGTATTATTTCCATGAAGTTACATCAATATCACTCCCAAAATAAATCCAGGTGGAAGACTAAATCCAAAGCTAGCAGAAGGAAAGAAATAATAAAGAGCATAATTAGAGCATAAATCAATAAAATAGAAGGTTGGAGAACAGTAGAATGAAAAAATGTAGATTCTTTGAAAGATCAAGCCTTTCACTATATTGACTGAGCAAAAGATGGGAGACTAATTATTAAAATAATAAATGAAAGCAGAGCCATTACTACCAACTTTACAGAAATAAAAAAGGATTACAGGAGTATACTGTGAACAACTGTCTAGCAACAAATTAGGTGCCCTGGATGAAATGGATGAATCGCTAGAAAGACACAAACTACCAAAGTGGCTCAAGAAGAAAGAGAAAATCTGAATAGACCTATAACCTAGGAGATTGAATTAGTAATCGAAAGCGATTAACAAAGAAACATGTATGACCAAATAGCTGCATTAACTGGTGAGTCAACCTAACATTTAAAGAAGAATTAATACCATTTCTTCTCAAACTCTTCTGACAAAATATATGAAGAAGGAATACTTGCTAATTCATTTTTTGATAACAGCATTATCCTTATACCAAAGACAAAGAGAGCACAAAAGAGAGAAATACAGCACTATATCCCTTATGAATATATAAGCAAAAATCTCAGCAAAATACTAGCAATACTAGCAAAATACTAGCAGCACTACTGTATAATCAAAGGATTGTAAACTATCACCCTTTGAGATTTATCCCCAAAATGCAAGCGTGGTTCAACATATAAAAAATCAATCAGTGTAATATGCTGTAACAGTAAAATGAATAAGCACGTGATTATTTCAATTGCTGCAGAGAAAACATTGATGAAATACAACACCCTTCTATAATAAAAATACTCAATAAACTAGGCATAGAAGGGATCTTCTGCAACATGACAATGGGATGTACAAAAACCCAACAGTTAATATCATGATCAATGATGAAACACTGAAAGCTGTTTTCCTAACATCTAGAAGAAAAGGATGGTGCATTTGCCACTTGTATTCAACGTAGCACTGGCAGTTCTAGCCAGAGCAATTAGGCAAGACAAAGAAATAAAAGGCATCTAAATTAGAAATAAAGAATAGGTGTAAAATTATATCTACACATGGTCTTATGGGTATAAAGCTCCAAACAAAACACAAAACCGATTATAACTAATAAAAGAGGCAGGATGCAAACAAACATAGGCAAATGAGCTATATTTCTATATAGTTGTAAAGAACTATGAAAACATTTTAAAAATTCCATTTATAATGACATCAAAGAATACGTTATTCAGGCATAAATCTAACCATGGTGGTATACACAAAACATTGCTGCAAAAAACTAAAGAGAGTGGAAATAAGTGGAAAGACATTCTGTGTTCACGGGTTGTAAGACAATATTGTTAAGATGACAATACCATCTAAAGTAATCTACAGATTCAATGCAATACCATCAAAATCCCAAAGGCATTTTTGCAGAAACAAAGAAACTCATTCTAAAGTCATACAAAAATTCAAAGGATCTGACAGACAAAACAGTCTTGAAAAAGAACATTGGAAAACTCACATTTTTCAGTTTCACAGCCTACTACAAATCTACAGTAATCAAGAGAGTGTGGTACTGGAATAAGACCAATAGGCTTTCAGACCAATACAACAGAACAGATTTGAGATACTACAAGTTAGTCCTCACATATATGGTCAATGACTGTTCAACAAGGTGGCCAAGTCTAGTCAAGGGAGGAAAGAACAGTCTCTTCAACAGCTGGATGTCAGTGCACAAGAGAGAAGTTAGACCCCTACCTTGCAGTATATACAAAAATTAATTCTAAATTAATAAAAGACTTAAATGTAAGGACTAAAAATATGTAACTCTTAGAAGAAAACACACGGTAAACCTTTATGGCCTTTGAGTTTTAAGTGTATTTTGAAATGTGACAGAAAAGCACAGATAACAAAAGAAAATACAGGAAAATTAGATTGAATCAAAATAAAAAACCCTTTATGCATCAAAGGATACTATCAAGGGAGTGAAAAGACAACCCATAATATGTGAGAAAATATGTATCTGATAAAATCAAAATGTGTATCTGATAAAAGCTTAATATCCCACAGCTCAACAACAGAATTTCTAAGATCCCAATTAAAAAATAGTCAAAGGACTTGAACAGACATTTCTCCAAAGAAGATACACAAATGTCTAAGAAGGAAAAGAAAAGATGCTAAACACCATTATTCATTAATAAAATGCAAGGTAAAACCCAAATGAGATGCCACTTTGCATCCACTAGTAAGGCTTTCATAACAACGACACAGAAAATCAATGTTGCTAAGGAGGTGGAGAAACTGGAACCCTCATGAACTGGCTGCTAGGAATAGAAAATGATGCACTTGCTGTGGAAAAGAGTTTGGTGGTTCCTCAAAGAATCACACAGAGAAACAGGCGCCGCTGGCTTGCGGGTTCTCCTGGGCTGGCGCGGGACGTCCCGGAATGGCAGGCGCACATTCCTTCCCGCCTGAGGGCCCGCCTGGCCGTGACTCCCGCCCCTCTCCTCCTCCGAAGAGAGATCGGGGCCACCCCAGGGGCCGTCTGCAGCCACCGGGGATGGTGCTGAGGGTCGGTTCCTGCCCCGGTGCAGCCGCCCCTGGGCAGACCGCCTGGCTTGGTCGCAGCCACGGCGACATCTAGCCCCGGTTCTGCGAGGCTGGGAGCGCCAGCCAGCTTGGGAGTCGCCCGGCGCCTGTAGCTGGGCGCCCAGGTGGTGGAGCATGCCCTGGGCAGCCTCTGGATCGCGGGTGCCCCTGGCCTGAGAGCCTGCCAGACCCTGTCCCGGCCCGGCTCCTCCTCTGTCAGAGCTCCACATCTCTATCCAGGGGCCCTCTGCAGCCACAGGGGATGGGGCTGAGGGCCGGTTCCCGCCCCTGTGCAGCTGCTGCGGGACAGACCGCCTGGCTTGGCCACAGCCACAGGGACATTTGGCCCTGCTTCCGAGATGTGGGGAGTGTGGGCGGGCTCGGGAGTTGCCTGGAGACTGCTGCCTGCACGCAGAAGGCGGCTGCAGCTCGGGTGCCCAGGCGGGCTGGAGGTGCATGGCCTGGTCGGCCTTGGGATCACCAGCGCGCCCAGCGTGAGGGCCCCCAGGCCGTGCCTCCCGACCACTCCTCCACCTGAGGGAGATCGGAGCCATTTGTATGGGCACTCGGCAGTCACCTCGTGTGGGGTTGAGCGGTGGCTTCTCAGTTCTCGCTCCTGTGCAGCTGCTGCAGCAGGGCAGAATGCCTGGCTTGGCTGCAGCCACTGGGACACGTGGCCCTGCTTCTATGATGCTAGGAGCGCGAGCGGGCTCGGGGGTTGCCAGGCAGCTGCTGCCTGCACACAGAGGGCGACGGCAGCTTGGGCGCCCAGATGGCGGAGCATGGTTTGGGTGGCCTCTGGAATGCGTGCGCGCCAGGCCTGAGGGTCACCCTGGTGGGGCCACATACCCCGGTCTTCCTCTGCTGGAGCCTGGAGCAGCTGGAATGGCCACTATTCCGTCACAGGGGATAGAGTTAAGTTTTCTTATCCCACCCATGCACACAAAAAGGTGACTATTCTGTGAGGTAATAAACGTGTTAATTGACTTCATTCATGCCACTCTGCATCCACAAGTAAGGCTTTCATAACAATGACACAGAAAATAAATGTTGCTAAGGAGGTGGAGAAGTTGGAGCCCTCATGATCTGGCTGCTAGGAATAGAAAATGATGCCCTTGCTGCGGAAAACAATTTGTTGTTCCTCACAGAATGAGCATTGGGTGAAAAATGAAATCAAGATGGAAATGTAAAAAATTTCTTTGAACTGGATGACATAACCTATCAAGACCTCTGGGATACAGCAAAGGCACTGCTAAGAGCAAAGTTTGTAGTCCTAAAAACCTACATCAAAAAGTCTGAAAGAGCACAAACAGACAATCTAAGTTCACTTCTCAGGGAACTAGAGAAGCAGGAACAAGCCAAACCCAATCCCAGCAAACACAGGAAATAACAAAGATCAGAGCACAACTAAATGAAATTGACACAACAACAACAACAACAAATACAAAACATAAATAAAACAAAAAGTTGGTTATTTGAAAAGATAAATAAAATTGATAGACCATTAGCAAAATTAACCAAGAAAAGAAGAGAGAAAATCCAAATAACCTCAATAAGAAATGAAACAGGGGATCTTACAACTGACACCACTGAAATATTAAAGATTATTCAAGGGTACTATGAACACCTTTTGGCACATAAACTCCTGGAAAAATACAACTCTCCTAGCTTAAATCAGGAAGAATTAGATACCCCAAGCAGACCAATAAAGCAAGCAGCAAGATTGAAATGGTAATTTTAAAATTACCAGCAAAAAAAGCCGAGGGACAGACAGATTCACAGCAGAATTCTACCAGACATTCAAAGAATGTCTTCTTTCATTCAAGGAAGAAATGATACCAATCTTTTCATACTATTCCACAAGACAGAGAAAGAAGAAACCCTCCCTTATTCATTCTATGAAGCCAGAATCACCCTAATACCAAAACCATGGAAGGACATAACCAAAAAAGAAAACTACAGACCAATATCCTTGATGAACGCAGATGCCAAAATCCTTAACAAAATACTATCTAACTGAATCCGACAACATATCAAAAAATAATCCACCATGATCAAGTGGGTTTTATACCAATGATATAGGAGTGGTTTCACATATGCAAGTCAATAAGTGTGATACACCAAATAAACAGAATTAAAAAAAACTAATATGATTATATCAACAGGTGCAGAAAAAACATTTGACAAAATCTAGCATTGCTTTATGACTAAAGCTCTCAGCAAAATAGGCATACAAGGGACATACCTTAATGTAATAAAAGCCATCTATGACAAACCCACAACCAACATAATACTGAATGGGGAAACGGTGAAAGCATTCCCTTTGAGAACTGGAACAAGACGAGGAGCCTACTCTCACCACTCCTCTTCAACATAGTACTGGAAGTCCTAGCCAGAGCAATCAGACAAAAGAAGGAAATAGAGGAAATCCAAATCGGTAAACAGGAAGTCAAACTGTCACTTGTTGCTGATGATATAATCTTTTGCCTAGAAAACGCTACGGACTCCTCTAGAAACCTCCTAGAACTGATAAAAGAATTCAGCAAAGTTTCCAGATACAAGATTAATGGACACAAATCAGTAGCTCTTCCATACATCAACAGCTACCAAGCAGAGAATCACATCAAGAACTCAACCCCTTTTACAATAGCTGCGACAAACAACAACAAAAAAACAAAACTTAGGAATATACCTAGCAAAGAAATAAAAGGACAGCTACAATGAAAATTACAAAACACTACTGAAAGAAATCATAGATGGAGCCAAGCACGGTGGCACATGCCTATAATCCGAGCTACTCGGGAAGCTGAGGCAGGAGAATCACTTGAACCCGGGAGGCAGAAGTTGTAGTGAGCCGAGATCACACCATTGCACTCACACCTCAGCGACAAGAGCTAAACTCCCTCTGAAAAAAAAAAAAAAAAAAAAAAAAAAACGAAAGAAAATAAGTCATAGATGACACAAACAAATGGAAATGCATCCCCATGCTCATGGATGGGTAGAACCAATATTGTGAAAATTACCATTCTGTTAAAGGCAATCTACAAATTCAATGCAATCCCCATCTGAAAGCCACCATCATTCTTCACAAAATTACAAAAACAATTCTAAAATTAATATGGAACCAAAAAAGAGCCATGTAACCAAACCAAGCCTAAGCAAAAAGAACCTGGAGGTATCACACTACTTGATTTCAAACTGTACAATAAGGCCATAGCTACCAAAACACCAACGTACTGGTTTAAAAATAGGAACATAGAACAATGGAACAGAAGAGAGAACTCAGAAATTAACCCAAATACTTACAGCCAACTGATCTTCGACAAAGTAAACAAAAACATAAAGTGGAGAAAGGACTCCCTTTTCAACACATGATGTTGGGATAATTGGCGAGCCACATGTAGGGGAATAAAACTGGACTCTCATCTCTCATTTTATACAAAAATATACTCAAGATGGATTAAGAACTTAAACCTAATTCCTGAACTATAAAAATTCTAGAAGATAACACTGGATAAACCCTTCTAGACATTGACATACGCAAGGATTTCATGACCAAGAACCCAAATGCAAATGCAATAAAAACAAAGATAAATAGCTGGGACTTAATTAAACTAAACAGCTTTTGCATGGCAAAGGGAACAGTCAGCAGAGTAAATGGACAACTCAAAGAGTGGGACCCCTGAACCTGACCCTGACCCCTGACCCTGATCCCTAACCTCTGACCCTGACCCCTAACCCCTGACCCTAACCCTAACCCCTAACCCTAACCCTTAACCATAAACCCTAAGCCTAACCCCTAACCACAACCCTCACCCTCACACTAATCCAACCCTAACCCCTTATCCCTAACCCCTAACCTCTCCTAACCTCTAACTCTAAACGTTGACTCTTAACTCTTAACTCTGACCCCAACCCCTATCTCAAACCCCAACCCTAAACTTAACCCCTAACCCCTAACCCTAACACCAACCTTAACCCTAGGTTCGTTACTACGTTTGTACTATGCCAATGTTGATTATTATGATCTCTGTCTTAGGACTGCATGGCAGCAAGGGGATTGCGGATCTTATATTAATATTTTTGTATTGAGGCAGTGCATTAGCATTACAGGTGCTTGTTACATGAGCAATGGGGGTGTCATATTTTGGGTGTCATGTCTGCATTAGGAATGCTGCATTTGTCTTCCGAGGCTGCGGTGTGGATCTCGCACTGCGGCCGCCTCGGCTTGGCTGGGGAGAACCTCGGTGGTCAGGATTCAGAGGGGCTTTTGGTTTCCCTTTTCCACACTGAGCCCTTCTAACTGGTCTCTGATCCTGATTATTCAGGGCTGCAAAAGGGAAGGATTTTATTCACCGTCTATGCGGTCCCGAGTTGTCCCAAAGCGAGGCAGTGCCCCAAAGGTCTGTGCTGAGGAGAAGGCTGCTCTGCCTTAGCGGTGTCCCCCGGGTCTGTGCTGAGCAGAACGCGGCTCCGCCCTCGCGGTGCCCCCGGCCCGCCTGGGTCTGTGCTGAGGAGAACACTGCTCCGCCTTCGCTGTATCTCTGAAGTCTGTGCAGAGGAGAACTCAGCTCCGCCCTGGCGATGCTTTCCTTGTCTGTGCTGGGAAGAACGCAGCTCCGCCCTCACAAAGGAGCACAGCGCCGGCGCAGGCCCAGAGAGGCCCACAGCGCTGGCGAAAGGCGCAGAGAGGCCCACAGTGCCGGCGCAGGCGCAGAGAGGCCCACAGCGCCGGCGCAGGCGCAGAGAGGCCCACAGCGCCGGCGCAGGCGCAGAGAGGCAGAAGGCCCATGAGGGGAAGGTGAGACACCTGGGGCAAAGAAGAAAAAAAAATGCGCCGCGAAGCGGTGTCTGGGTCATCCAGGGACGAAAGTTTTTTCCCATCAGCCCTTGCGCTGGGCCCCAGGGACCCTGGCATCCCTGGTTCACGCCCAGGGTGTGCCTCAGGCGACTAGGGGTAACCCAACTTGGACAGAAGGCCCATGAGTGGAAGTTGAAGTTTGTGGGAGGAGAGGTGAGGCAGCAGGGGCAGAAAAAAAAAAAAAGAGGACCGCGTATCAGAGAAGCGGGACCTGGGTTCCCCACGGATGAAAGTGCCTTCCCATTAGGCCCTATGCTGGGCCTGGTGGACACTGGGGACCCTGGTTCAAGCCCAGGGTGCGCCTCAGGACAGCTTGGGGTACCACAAAGCGAACAAAAGGTCCATGAGGGGAAGGTGAGGCACCTGAGGCAGAGAAAAAAAAAACGCTCAGCCGAGAAGCAGTGCCTGGGCCCCCCACGGATGAAAGTGCCATCCCATCAGCCCCTTCCCTGGGCCCTGGGGACCCTGGCGTCCCTGGTTTGACCCTGGGGTACGCCTCGGGACAGTAGGGGTACCCCAAGGTGGGCAGAAAGCCCCTAAGGGGAAGGTGAGGCACCTGGGGCAGAGAAAAAAAGAAAAACTTCGCCGCGGAGAAGCACGGCCTGGGTGCCCCACAGACGAAAGTGTCTTCCCATCAGTCCCTGAACTGGGACCCAGGGACCCTGGTATCCCTCGTTCAAGCTCAGGGTGTGCCTCGGCCGCCAAGTGCACCCCAAGGGGGGCTTTGGGGACACAAAGCCCGTGAGGGGAAGGTGAGTTTTGAGGGAGGAGAGGTGAGGCACCTGTCACAGTAAAAGAAAAAAAAGAAACCCGTGCCGCGGAAAGGTGTGGCCTGGGTACCCCACGGATGAAAGTGCCTTCCCATCAGGCCCTGCACTGGGCCCCGGGGAATCTAGAGTCCCTGGTTCGAGCTCAGTGAGAGCCTCGGGCCACTAGGGGTACCCCAAGGCGGTGGAAAGCCCATGAGAGGAAGGTGAGCTGTGAGGGAGGAGAGGTGAGACACTTGTGGCAGAAAAGAAAAAGAAACCACGCCACGGAGAAGTGGGGCCTGGGTCTCCCATGGAAAGAAAGTGCCTTCCCATCAGTCCCTGCACTGGGCCCCGTGGACCCAGGCGAACCTGGTTATAGGCCTGGGTGCACCTCGGGCCCGCTAGGTGTATCCCAAAGCGGGCAGAAGGCCCATGAGGGGAAGGTGAGGTTTGAGGGAAGAGAGGTGAGGCACCTGCGACAGAAAAAAAAAAAACCGTGCGGAAGAGAAGCGGGACCTGGGTCTCCCACGGACGAAAGTGCCTTCTCATCAGCCCCTGCGCTGGGCCCCCTGGACTCTGGCGACCCTAGTTCAAGGTCCAGAAGAGACTCCAGCATGCTAGGGTACCCTAAGGAAGCCAGAAAGCCCATGAGAGGAAGGCGAGATTTAAGGGAGGAGAGGTGAGTCACCTGTGTCAGAAAAAAAAAATACATATATATATATATATCAGCACCTCGGAGAAGCCGGGCCTGGGTCCCCACTGATGAAAGTGCCTTCCCATCAGCCCCTGCGCTAGCCCCGAGAACCTGGCGACCCTGATTGGAGACCCGGGAGCGCCTCGGGCCTGCGCGTGGTACCCCAAAGCAGGCAGAGGGCCAGTGAGGGGAAGGTGAGGCACCTGGGGCGGAGAAAAAAACCGCAGCTTTGAGAAGCGGGGCCTGGGTACCCACGGATGAAGGTACCTTCCCATCAGCCCCTGCGCTAGGCCCCGGCGACTCTGGCATCCATGGTTCGAGTCCAGGGAGCGCCTTGGGCAGCTAGGGGTACCCCAAGTCGAGCAGAAAGCCCATGATGGGAAGTTGACGTTTGAGGGAGGAGAGGTGAGGAACCTGTGGCAGAAAAAAAAAAAAGAAAACAAGCCGCGCCTAGGAGAACCTGGGCCTGGGTCCCCCAAGGATGAAAATGCCTTCCCATCAGTCCCTGCGCTGGGCGCTGTGGACGCTGGAGACCCCGGTTCGAGCCCCGGGTGCACCTCGGGCCCGCTAGGGGTACCACAAGGCGGTCAGAAATCCCATGAGGGGCAGTTGAGGTTTCAGGAAGGAGAGGTGAGGCACCTGTGGCAGAAAAAAAAAAAACTGCACCACAGAGAAGGGGAGCCTGGGTCCCCAATGGACGAAAGTGTCTTCCCATCAGCCCTTGCGCTGGGCCCAGGGGAACCTGGCATTCCTTGTTCGAGACCAGGGTGCGCTTCAGGCCGCTAGGGGTACACAAAAGCGGGCAGAGGGCCCATGAGGGGAAGGTGACGCACGTGGGGCAGAGAAAAAAAAACAACAACAACCGTGCCGCGGATAAGCGGGGCCTGGGTCCCCCACAGAAGAAACTGTCTTCCCATCAGCGCTTGCATTGCGCCCTGGGGACCCTGGAATCCCCGGCTCGAGCACAGCTTGCCCCTGGGACTGCTAGGGGTACCCCAAGACAGACAGAAGGCCCATGAGGGAAAGGTGAGACACCGGTGGCAGAGAAGAAAATAAAAAACTGCGCCGCCCAGAAGTGGGGCCTGGGTCCCCCATGGACGAACGTCCCTACCCATAAGTCCTGCACTGGGTCACGGTGACCCTAGCATCCCTGGCTCAAAACAACACTGCGCCTCGGGCCGGCTAGGGGTACCTAAAGGCGGGCAGAAAGCCCATGACGGGAAAGTGAGGCACATGGGGAAAAGAAAAAAAAAAACGCCACAGAGAAGAAGAGCCTGGGTCCCCGAGGAAGAACGTGTCTTCCCATCAGCCAATCCGCTTGGCCCAGTGGAACCTGGATTCCATGGTTCGAGCCCAGGGTGTGCCTCGGGCCGCTAGGGGTACCCCAAAGCATGCAGAAGGCACAAGAGAGGAAGGTGAGGCACCTGGGGCAGAGAAAAAAAAACCCAGCCACGGAGAAGCGGGGACTGGGACCTCCACACGGACGAAAGTGTCTGCCCATCAGGCCTTGCGCTGGGCCTCAGGGACCCTGGAGTCCGTGGTTCGAGGTCACAGGGCACCTCGGGCGGCTAGGTGTACCCCAAGGAAGACAGAAGGGCCATGAGGGGAAGGTGAGAATTCAGGAAGGAGAGGTGAGGCATCCATGGCAGGAAAAAAAAAAAAAAACCGCGCCACAGAGAAGCAGGTCATGTGTCCCCTACAGACGAAAGTGCCCTCACATCAGGCCCTGAGGGTTTGAGACAGAATGAGGAGTGACTAATGTCTACAGGGATTTTCTCTGGTCGGGGGTGATAAGACGTTCTACAATGGATTGCGAATTAAAATTGAATGTGCACAACCACAGGTATACTAAAAGCCACTCAATTCATGACTTTTAATGGGGGAATCTTATGTGGCGCACTCTCATGGAGAACACGGCAGACATAGTGAGAGAGAAAAAGGTGAGTAAATATCTGAAATGGAGGCAGAAACACAGAGAATGAAAAGCCCTGTGAATGGAAGGGAGAGCGAAAAGGGAAAATGGTCCTATTTAAAAATGACAGATGTGAAACTGGGGTTCACATCAACAGTGTCATTGCAAGGAACGAGGATCACGCTAGCCATATCACCGGTAGTGTGGCAAGCAGGGACGCCGACCTGCTGGAGCGTCATGCCAGCATGGGCTGTGGCATCCACGTGGGCCAGCAGGAGGTTCCCGCTGCACAGCTGTGGGGGGAGGATAGACTGGGTGGTGATATCGGCCATTACAAGGGGCCTTTTCTGCTGGCAAGAGTGTGACAGTAGCAAGTAGATGGACAGGCCTGCGTGTGAGGACGGAATGCAGGAGAGGCTCTTGTGCGGCTGGGTGTGGGGCCCTCACGGGAACCGTGGAGAAATGGCCAGGTAACTGCGTCATGTGGGCTGGTAGATTGGCCAGGGCTTCGAACCGAAGGACAATAACGGGGAGTAGCTGTCAGGCCCTGGGAGTGCCTGAGTGTAAGTGGAGATGGGTTTGGGGTCACTGAGGGATGCGTGGGAGCCATCCCTGTATAGGTACAGGTCATAGGGAGATAGTCTCGTGAGGCCTGTGAGTGTCTAGGGTTGTCCTGGGTGCCTGGGGCTGACTGTGGCAGAAATCTGGGGAAGGCTGGAGAGAAGCTGGGAGACCCAGGAGAGTCTCTGAAGGCAGGGGGTGAAGAGGTGAAAGAAATGGGGGAGGGTTGCAGTAAGGTCCGTGATTTTGTAGGTGATTCCTGGGTGCGGGAGGCTGACTCCAGGTGAAATCTGGAGATGGTTGGAGAGTAGCTGAGAGAGACAGAAGAGTCCCTGAGAGTTGGGGGTGAGAACATGAGGGAGACTGGCGAGTAAGTCAGTGAAATTCGTGAGTTCGGTGGTGTATCGTGGGAGCTTGAAACTGACTCCAGCTGGAATCTAGAGAAGTTTTGAGAGTAGCTGAAAGAGACACAAGAGTACCTGTGGGCTGAGGGCAAAGACATGAGAGAGACCAGGGAGGACCTCAGTGAAGTCTGTGAGACTGAAGGTGATTCCGGAGTGTGGGAGGCTGACTCCCGCTGAAATGTGGGCGTGGTGGGAGAGTAGCTGGGACAGACAGGAGAGTCCCAGGGGGCTGGGGGTGAAGACATGAGAGAGAGTGGGGAGTAACTCAGTGAAACTGCTGAGTTTGGTGGTGATACCTGGGGGCCTGGAACTGATTCCCCCTGAAATCTGGGCATGGTTGGAGAGTAGCTGGGACACACAGGAGAGTCCCTGTGGGCTGGGGGTGAAGACATGAGAGAGACGGGGGAGTAACTGAGTGAAACTGGTGAGTTTGGTGGTGACTCCGGGGTGCGTGGAACTGACTCCAGCTGAAATGTGGGCGTGGTTGGAGAGTAGCTGGGACAGACAGGAGAGTCCCTGAGGGCTGGTGAAGACATGAGAGAGACTGGAGAGTAATTGAGTGAAATTGGTGAGTTTGGTGGTGATTCCTGGGTGCCTGGAACTGACTCCCGCTGAAGTGTGGGCGTGTTTGGAGAGTAGCTGGGACACACAGGAGAGTCCCTGAGGGTTGGAGATAAAGACGTGCTAGAGACTGAGGAGTAACTGAGTGAAATTGGTGAGTTTGGTGGTGATTCCGGGGTGCTTGGAACGGACTCCAGCTGAAATGTGGGCGTGGTTGGAGAGTAGCTGGGACAGACTGGAGAGTCCCTGAGGCATGGTGAAGACATGGGAGAGACTGGGTAGTAACGCAGTGAAATTGGTGAGTTTGGTGGTGATTTCTGGGTGCCTGCAACGGACTCTCGCTGAAGTGTGGGCGTGTTTGGAGAGTAGCTGGGACAGACAGGCGAGTCCCTGAGGGTTGGAGATAAAGACATGTTGGAGACTGGGGAGTAACTCAGTGACAGTTGTGGGCTTGGTGGTGATCCCCGGGTTCGTGGAACTGACCTGCGCTGAAATGTTGGCGTGGCTGGAGAGTAGCTGGGACAGACTGGAGGGTCGGTAAGGGCTGGGGGTGAAGACGTGAGAGAGACTGGCGAGGAACTCACTGAGGTCTGTGAGATTGTAGGTGTTTCTGGGGTGTGTGGTACAGACTACCGCTGAAAGCTCGGCGTATTTTGAGAGTAGCTGGGACAGACAGGAGAGTCATGGGTGGCTGGGGGTGAGCTGCTGGATGATGGCAGTAAGAACATATGGTATATTATTGATGAATGAGGTGACTGTGAAGAATCTCCAGAGGAGGACACGGGAGAACACAAAGACATGAGTGACTGCCCTGCTTGGTTAGGAAAGGGAAAAGTAAAGTTGTGGAATTCTGTTGATGATGGATGTGAGAGTGGTGAAGCCCTGCGGGAAGATGTAGAGGACTTCCACATCCCTGGTGAGGAGCTGCCCCTTGGGTCTGAGTTTCTGGGAGGGGAGAGGGAGAAGCTGGGTGAGGCAGGCATGAATCTTGAGGAGTCAGGGCTGGGGTCCGCTCATATTCTCCCGAAACCTGTGAGTCTCTGGGGGACCCCTGGGTGCATGGGGCTGACTCCCGCAGGAACCTGGGGATGGCCGGAGAGTAACTGGGAGCCACAGGAGGGTCCCTGAGGCCTGGGGGTGAAGAGATGAAAGACACAGGGGTGGAGCACTGTGAGGCTCGTGAGTTTGTAGGTGATTCCTGGGTGTGGGGGGCAGACTCCAGCTGATATCTGGGGTTGTTTGGAGAGTAGAGGGGAGACACAGGAGATCCCCCAGAGCTGGGGGTGAGCTGCTGGGTGATGGCAGTAAGAACCTGTGGTATATTATTGATGAACGTGGGGACTCTGAGGAATCCTCAGAGGAGGACACGGGAGAGCCCAATGGCTTCATTGATTGCCCATCACGGTGAGGACAGGGAAATGGGAGCTTGTGGGATTCTGGTGATGACAGAGGTGAGTGTGGTGAAGCCCTAGGGGATGGTGAATGGTAGCTCCGGATCCCTGGTGAGGAGCTTCCCCTTAAGCATGAGTTTCTGTGAGGTTAGAGGGAGAAGCTGGGTGAGGCTCGCATGGACCATGGGGATTCCAGGCTGGGGGACCGTTCAAGAGAAGAGACAGACAAGACCCTACTGTTCTTAGGTGCAGACATGGTTAGGAAACCTGCAGCACCCAGGGGTCCCTACTAATGTTCTAACTCGCAGAAGGAAGGAGTGTGTGTGCGTGAGTGTGTGTGCGTGTGTGTGTGTGTGTGTTTGTGTGTGTGCGGTGTGATGTATGTGCCTCTGAAGAAAATGGAAATCAACCAAACAATGGGACAGACAGACAGACACACAGAAAGAGATTCAATTGCCCAAGTGTTCTCTCCTGTCCTCTGAATCCGCTTCAAAGTCGCAAGATGCTGTGAGCTTCAAGTCCACGCAGAGTCCGCCAAACGCTCCGGCCGCTGATCCGCTCCGCGAAGATCTGACTACAGACCAGCCAGGGTGGGTTTAAATAGCCTCGGGCGCAGCCTAGCAGAGGAAAGGGCGGAGCTTCACTCCTCCTTTCCATCAGTCACCCCCAACTTCCCCAGGATACACCTCGTAGGAAACTGTTCTCCTGCTCTGATTTCATGCGCCACCTTTGTGACAATCTAAGAACTTACAAGATTTCTTGGCCAGATATATTAGGAACTGTATGCACTGAAACACTGAAAACCAACTAGTGTTTCTGTGCTTCCCACGTTGTGGTTTTGACACCAGCAGCATCCTTGCCACAATCAAACCCCGGAGATCCGCAGATCTGTGTTGTAACAAGACCTCCCCCTGACCCTGATGCATGGCAGTTGAAGAAGTCTTTCCGTGTAAGCGAAAAGACTTTGAAGAAAAGGTGGAGATATGCGTTGTATAAACATTCTTTTGCTCTGGAACCACGTAGAGACTTGGGAGCCAGTTGGGTGGAGCATTCGTTGGATGAGGGTGCTCGGGTTAGGAATATCAAGGTGTGGCTCCAGATAATCCAATCATCTAATTAAGATTCCAGTTATACTCATCTGTTTTAAAATTCCGTTTGGATAAATTCTTTTAGTCAGACTGAGAATGGCAAAGCCTCAACTCCAATTTCCAGGGAGGGTGGAGAGCCTCAGGTGGAGTTGATCACCAATAGCGTATGGTTTAACCCATCATGCCTATAGAATGAGGTCTCCATCAAAACCCAAAAGGACTGGGTTCAGAGAGCTTCTGGATAACACTTCCTGGAAGGTAGAGCGCCCCTCCCCACATGCTGGGCCCCACATTTATTTCTGAACTCATCCTTATTTCTTATCCTTATCATGTCTGCACCTAAGAAGAGTAGGGTCTTGTCTGGCTCTTCTTATGAACGCTCCCCCAGCACGGACAACCCAAGGTCCATGCGAGCCTCACCCAGCTTCTCCCTCTCCCCTCTCAGAAACTCAGGCTTAAGGGGAAGCTCCTCACCAGGGATCCGGAGCTACCATTCACCATCCCCTAGGGCTTCACCACACTCACCTCTGTCATCACCAGAATCCCACAAGCTCCCATTTCCCTGTCCTCACCGTGATGGGCAATCAATGAAGCCATTGGGCTCTCCCGTGTCCTCCTCTGAGGATTCCTCAGAGTCCCCACGTTCATCAACAATATACCACAGGTTCTTACTGCCATCACCCAGCATCTCACCCCCAGCTCTCGGGGGGTCTCCTGTGCCTCCCAGCTACTCTCCAAACAACCCCAGATTTCAGCTGGAGTCAGTCCCCCACACCCAGGAATCACCTACAAACTCACGAGCCTCACGGTGCTCCACCCCTGTGTCTTTCATCTCTTCACCCCGAGGCCTCAGGGACCCTCCTGTGGCTCCCAGTTACTCTCCAGCCATCCCCAGGTTCCTGCGGGAGTCAGCCCCATGCACCCAGGAGTCCCCCAGAGACTCACAGGTCTCGGGAGAATATGAGCGGTCCCCCAGCCCTGACTCCTCAAGATTCATGCCTGCCTCACCCAGCTTCTCCCTCTCCCCTCCCAGAAACTCAGACCCAAGGGGCAGCTCCTCACCAGGGATGTGGAAGTCCTCTACATCATCCCGCAGGGCTTCACCACTCTCACATCCATCATCAACAGAATTCCACAACTTTACGTTTCCCTTTCCTAACCAAGCAGGACAGTCACTCATGTCATTGTGTTCTCCCGAGTCCTCCTCTGGAGATTCTTCACAGTCACCTCATTCATCAATAATGTACCATATGTTCTTACTGCCATCATCCAGCAGCTCACCCCCAGCCACCCATGACTCTCCTGTCTGTCCCAGCTACTCTCCAACTACGCCCAGATTTCAGGGGGAGTCTGTACCCCACACCCCAGAAACACCTACAAACTCACAGACCTCAGTGAGATCCTCGCCAGTCTCTCTCACGTCTTCACCCCCAGCCCTTACGGACCCTCCAGTCTGTCCCAGCTACTCTCCAACCACGCCCACATTTCAGCGCGGGTCAGTTCCAGGAACCCTGGGATCACCACCAAGCCCACCACTTTCACTCAGTTACTCCCCAGTCTCCAGCACGTCTTTATCTCCAACCCTCAGGGACTCGCCTGTCTGTCCCAGCTACTCTCCAAACAAGCCCACACTTCAGCGGGAGTCCGTTACAGGCACCCAGAAATCACCACCAAACTCACCAATTTCACTGCCTTACTCCCCAGTCTCTCTCATGTCTTCACCATCCCTCAGGCACTCTCCCGTCTGTCCCAGCTACTCTCCAACCACGCCCACATTTCAGCTGGAGTCCGTTCCAGGCACCACGGAATCACCACCAAACTCCCCAATTTCACTCAGTTACTCCTCAGTCTCTAGCACGTCTTTATCTCCAACCCTCAGGGACTCTCCTGTGTGTCCCAGCTACTCTCCAACCACGCCCACACTTCAGCGGGAGTCAGTGCCAGGCACCCAGGAATCACCACCAAACTCACCAATTTCACTCAATTACTCCCCAGTCTCTCTCATGTCTTCACCATCCCTCAGGGACTCTCCCGTCTGTCCCAGCTACTCTCCAACCACGCCCACATTTCAGCTGGAGTCCGTTCCAGGCACCACGGAATCACCACCAAACTCACCAATTTCACTCAGTTACTCCTCAGTCTCTAGCACGTCTTTATCTCCAACCCTCAGGGACTCTCCTGTGTGTCCCAGCTACTCTCCAACCACGCCCACACTTCAGCGGGAGTCAGTGCCAGGCACCCAGGAATCACCACCAAACTCACCAATTTCACTCAATTACTCTCCAGTCTCTCTCATGTCTTCACCAGTCCTCAGGGACTCTCCTGACTGTCCCAGCTACTCTCCAACCACGCCCACATTTCAGCTGGAGTCAGTTCCACACACCCCGGAGTCGCCACCAAACTCACCAGTTTCACTCAGTTACTCCCCGGTCTCTCTCATGTCTTCACCCCCAGCCCTCAGGGACTCTCCTGTGTGTCCCAGCTACTCTCCAACCATGCCCAGATTTCAGCGGGGGTCCATTCCAGGCACCCAGGTATCACCAACCAACTCAGCAATTTCACTGAGTTACTCCCCACTCTCTCTCATGTCTTCACCCCCAGCCCCCTGGGACTCTCCTGTCTGTCCCAGCTACTCTCCCACCACGCCCACATTTCAGCGGGAGTCAGCCTCCCACACTCCGGAATCACCTACAGACTCACAGACTTCACTGAGGTCCTCCCTGGTCTCTCTCAGGTCTTTGCCCTCAGCCCACAGGGACTCTTCTGTCTCTTTCAGCTACTCTCAAAACTTCTCTAGATTCCAGCTGGAGTCAGTTCCAGGCACCCACGATACACCACCGAACTCACGAATTTCACTGACTTACTCCCCCGTCTCCCTCATGTTCTCACCCCCAGCCCTCAGGGACTCTTCTGTCTCTCTCAGCTACTCTCCAACCATCTCCAGATTTCACCTGGAGTCAGCTTCCCGCACCCAGGAATCACCTACAAACTCACGGACCTTACTGCAACCCTCCCCCATTTCTTTCACCTCTTCACCCCCTGCCTTCAGGGACTCTCCTGGGTCTCCCAGCTTCTCTCCAGCCTTCCCCAGATTTCTGCCACAGTCAGCCCCAGGCACCCAGGACAACCCTAGACACTCACAGGCCTCACGAGGCTATCTCCCTACGACCTGTACCTATACAGGGATGGCTCCCACGCATCCCTCAGTGACCCCAAACCCATCTCCACTTACACTCAGGCACTCCCAGGGCCTGACAGCTACTCCCCGTTATCGTCCTTCAGTTCGAAGCCCTGGCCAATCTACCAGCCCACATGACGCAGTTACCTGGCCATTTCTCCACGGTTCCCGTGAGGGCCCCACACCCAGCCGCACAAGAGCGCCTCCTGCATTACGTCCTCACACACAGGCCTGTCCATCTACTTGCTACTGTCACACTCTTGCCAGCAGAAGAGGCCCCTGTAATGGCCGATATCACCACCCAGTCTATCCTCACCCCACAGCTGTGCAGCGGGAACCTCCTGCTGGCCCACGTGGATGCCACAGCCCATGCTGGCACGACGCTCCAGCAGGTCGGCGTCCCTGCGGGCCACACTACAGGTGACATGGCTAGCATGACCCTCCTTCCTGGCAGTGACACTGTTGATGTGAACCCCAGTTTCACATCCGTCATTTGTAAATAGGACCATTTTCCCTTTTCGCTCTCCCTTCCATTCACAGGGCTTTTCATTCTCTCTGTTTCTGCCTCCGTTTCAGACACTTACTCACCTTTTTCTCTCTCACTATGTCTGCCGTGGTCTCCATGAGAGTGCGCCACATAAGATTCCCCCATTAAACGTCATGAATTGAGTGGCTTTTACTATACCTGTGGTTGTGCACATTCAATTTTAATTCGCAATCCATTGTAGAACGTCTTATCACCCCCGACCAGAGAAAAACCCTGTAGACATTAGTCACTCCTCATTCTGTCTCAAACCCTCTCCCTGACCCTCAGCCCTAGGTAGCAACTACCTAGTGCGATCAATCCCATATGCATAGATTTCCATATTGTGGACATTTCCTATAAACGGAATTGCACAATAGGTGAGCTGCTATGACTGACATAACACGTAGCACAATATTTTCAAGATTCATCCACATTGTAGGCTTACCCACAGGGGGAAACCACTTTTTGGGGGGTTTTAGTAACACTGGTGTTTTCTCCTTCCTTTCGTCCTTCTTTCCTTCCTTCCTTCCTTCCTTCCGTCCTACCTTCCTTCTTTCCTTCCTTCCTTCCTTCCTTCCTTCCTTCCTTCCTTCCTTCCTTCCTCCTATTTCTCTCTTACTCCTTCTGCCCTCTCTCTTTCATATGCCTTAGGTGCATCCCACATTCTGCGTTTTTTGGGGGAAATCCTCGACAGGTGCAGGAAAATTGTGTTATTGTAACTATTTACCGCTATCTCTCTTTCACGGCTCTCCATCACTTTTGAACAACTATTGGTTTATCCCAAGTCACTAAGCATATTTTTATTAGGTACACCTGTCACCAGAAGACGCTCCCACCAGTGCCATGACAGTTTGCCAATGCCATGTCATCACGAGAATTCCCCACCCCTTGCCATGGAAACAGATGGAAGTTACTGCCCATTTCTAGCTATTTATGAATAACCCGCCCCTTAATTAGCATACCATTAAAAGTGAATCATAAAAATGACTACAAGCCACCCCTCGGCTGCTGCTCTGGGAGCACTACCCACGGAGGGCTCCCTGCCCTGCCGGAGTGGACGCAGGGGTGTAACACCGCCAATGCCTCCTTAGAGCTGCTTTCTTCCACCACAGGCTTGCTTTTGGATTTCTTCCTGAGCGACGCCAAGAACCTGCCCTTCCTCAGTGTTACTCTTGCCTAAAACCTATCCCTGGTATTCTCTTTTCCTAAGCATGCCCTGACTTGTTCTTTCATCTCCTCTGATCTTGCAATTGGTCCTCAGTGACTCTATTCTGCAGATCCAGAAAACTCAAACTTAATCTTCCCAGAGCCCTGTTGTCTCCAATATTGGAATCTCTAGCCTTGTTTTCTCAGACGCCTAAATTACAGGCCTCTCTCTTGAACACCTATTGGTATGGTATCTGGGGATCCTTTAAATACATGATGATTGGCAGGGGTTAAATAGCGGAAATCAGTGTCTGACAATTCGCCTTCCAGGATATGGACTGTCATTCCCTCTCTTGGTGGGCCTTAGTCTCTTATCCATAAAAGTAGAGATTGTAATACTCATTTGAATTGCAGATACCTCAACCCGAACCCACCTAATATAATGTAAAACCAAGAATGCAACCCCTTTCCTCACCCCGTGAAGGTAAAGCCCTCAGAGCCAAGGAGAGAAGGCTCAGGGATGGTATCTGGGTGTTTCCAACGCTAACCATGTATTGTAGTTTTTAGTGTTCAAGTTTAAGCTTCCCCAGCTTTAATTCTATTGTAACAAGATTTATTTTTGTAATTCCATTTTTGGATTCTTGATTTCTTGGTAAAGAAATACATTTATTTTTGTATACCAATCTTATATAGTGTTACATTCTTAAATTTGTTCATGAGTCCTAATACGTTTTAGTAAATTTCTTACGATTTTCTAAATGCAAGATCATGTCATCTGTACATAAAGATAACTGTACTTCTTCCTTTCCAATCTAGATGCTGTTTATTTATTTACATTGCCAACTTGTCCCAGCTACCACTGTTATCAAGTAAAAGGGTCTCACTGCCCAAAGCACAAGAAGCCGGTACCATGACACTGAGTTTTCGAGAAAAGAAAAAGTTTAAAGTCAAACCAAAACCTGGGGTACAGGCCGGGCGCACTGGCTCATGCCTGTAATCCCAGCACTTTGGGAGGCCGAGGCGGGCGGATCATACGGTCAGGAGATTGAGTCCATCCTGGCTAACACGGTGAAACCCCGTCTCTACTAAAAATACAAAAAACAAAAATTAGCCGGGCGTGAAGGCTGGCGCCTGTAGTCCCAGCTACTCGGGAGGCTGTGGCGGGAGAATGGCGTGAACCTGGGTGGCGGAGCTTGCAGTGAGCCGAGATCACGTCACTGCACTCCAGCCTGGGCAACAGAGCGAGACTCCATCTCAAAAAAAAAAAAAAAAAACTATGGGATACAATAAAAACAGTACTACAGTACTAAGAGGTAAGTTTATAGAAAAAAGCACCTACATCAAAAAAAGTAGAAAAGCTTCAAATAAACAACCTAATAATGCATCTTAAATAATTAGAAAAGCAAGAGCAAGCCAAAACCAAAATTAGTAGAAGGAAACATAGCAAAGATCGGAGCAGAAATAAATGAAATTGAAATTTAAAAATATAAAATATCAATGAAATGAAAAGTTAATATTTTTAAAAGACCAACAAAATCAACAAACACTTAACCAGACTAAGAAAAAAGAGAGAAGATTCAAATACATAAAACCAGAGATTAAAAAGGAGGCACTATAACTGATACTGTGGAAATTCAAAGAATCATTAGAAACTATTAAGACCAACTATATTCCAGTAAATTGAAAAACCTGGAAGAAGTGGCTGGGCACCGTGGCTCATGCCTGTAATCCCAACACTTTGGGAAGCCAAGGCAGGTGATCACCTGAGGTCAGTAGTTCAAGACCAGCCTGGTCAACATGGTGAAACCCCATCTCTACTAAAAATACAAAAATTAGCCAGGCATGCTGGCATGCACCTGTACTTCCAGCTACTCTAGAGGCTGAGGCAGGAAAATCACTTGAACCTGGGAGGCAGAGGTTGCAGTGAGCTGAGATTGTACCATGCTGCAGCCTGGGTGACAGAGCAAGATTCCATCTCAAAAAAAAAAAAACCTAGAAGAAATGGATAAATGAAATTGAAGCCATAATAAAACATCTCCTAGCAAAGAAAAGCCTGGATTCAATGGCTTCACTGGCTTCACTGATTAATTTTACCAAGCATTGAAGGCAGAATTACTATCAATCCTACTCAAACTATTCCAAAAAACAGAGAAGGCTGTAGTATTTCCAAACTCATCCTATGAAAAAGACCACTCATCATGTCTAAGTGGGATTTATCCCGAGGATGCCAACATGGTTCAACGTATGCAAATCAATCAATGTGACACATCATATCAACAGAATGAAGGACAAAAACCATATGATAATTTCAATTGATGCTGAAAAGCATTTAATAAAATTCAACATCCCTGTGATAAAAAGAAACCCTCAAAAAAAACTAGATATAGAAGGAACATACCACAACACAATAAAAACCATACGCAACAGACCCACAGCCAGTATCATCCTGGACAGGGAAAAGCTGAAAGCCTTTCTTCTAAGATCTGGAACAAGACAAGAATGTCCACTTCCAACACTGTTACTCAACATAGTACTGGAAGTCCTAGCTAGAGCAATTCAGACAAGAGAAAATCAATAAAAGGGATCCAAATTGGAAAGAAGTAAAATTATTACTGTTTTCTTGTTTGCAGATGATTAGCTCTTATATTTGGAAAAACCTAAGGACTCCACCAAAAACTATTAGAACTGATCAACAAATTCAGAGTCACAGCATACAAAATCAAACTACAAAAGTCAGTAGCATTTCTAAATGACAAAAATGAACAATCTAAAGAAGAAAATCAAGAATGTAATCCCATTTACAATAGCTACAAATAAAATAAAATAACTGGGAATAAACATAACAGAAGAAGTGAAAGATCTCTACAATGAAAACTATAAAACATAGATGCAAAAAAATTAAAGAGGACACCAAAAAAAATGGAAAGATAGTCCATGTTCATTTATTGGAAGAGTAAATATTGTTAAAATACCCATACTTCACAAAGCAATCTACAGATTCAATGCAATCCCTATTGAAATACTAATAACTCTCTTCACAGAAATAGAAAAAAAATCCTAAAATTTACATGAAACCATAAAAGACCCAGAATACCAAAAGCCATCCTGAGCAAAAAGAACAAAACTGGAAGAATCACATCACCTGACTTTAAATTATAGTACAGAGAAATTATAAACAAAACAGCATGGTACTGGCATAAAACAGACACATAGACCAATGGAACAGAATAGAGAACCCAGAAATAAATCCATACATTTACAATTAACTCATTTTCAATGAAGGTGCCAAGAATATACATGGGGGAGAGGACAGTCTCTTCAACAAATTGTGCTGGGAAAACTAGATATTCATTGGCAGATTTTTTTTTTTTTTTGAGATGGAGTCTAGCTCTGTTGCTCACGCTGGAATGCAGTGGCGCGATCTGGGCTCACTGCAAGCTCCACCTCCCGGGTTCACACCATTCTCCTCCTCAGCCTCCCAAGTAGCTGAGAGTACAGGTGCCCACCACCACGCCTGGCTAAATTTTTTTTGTACTTTTAGTAGAGACAGAGTTTCACCGTGTTAGCCAGGATGGTCTCGATCTCCTGCCTCCATGATCCGCCCACCTCGGCCTCCCAAGTCATTGGCAGAATAGTTAAACTAGAAACCTCTCTTGCACTATATACAAAAATCAAATCCAAATGGGTTAAAGACTTAAATCAAAGACACGAAACTACTGAAAGAAAACATTAAGGAAACTCTCCAGGAAATTGCTCTTGGAACAGATTTCTTGAGTAATACTCCAAAAGCTCAGGCAACCAAAGCAAAAATGAACAAGTGGTATCACATCAAGTTCAAAAGTTTCTGCACAGTAAAGAAAACAATGGACAAAGTGAAAAGACAATCCACAGAATGGAAGAAAATATTTGCAAACTATATAACTGACAAGGGATTAATAACCAGAATATATAAGGAGCTCAAACAACTCTATAAGAAAAAAAACTAACAATCTAATTATTTAAATGGGCAAAAGATCTGAACAGACAGTTCTCAAAAGAAGGCACACAGGTCAGGCGTAGTGGCTGACACATGTAATTCCAGCACTTTGGGGAGCCAAGACGGGTGGGCCACTTGAGCCCAGGAGTTCAAGAACAACCTGATCAACATAGCAAATAATTTTAAAAACTACCTGGGCATGGTGATGCATGCCTGTGGTCCCAGCTACTCAGGAGGCTGAGGTGGGAGGATTGCTTGAACCCTGGCAGTCAACACTACATTAAGCCATGATCATACCACTGCACTCCAGCCTGGGTGACAGAGTGAGACCCTGTCTCAAAAAATGAGCAAAAACAAAAAAGAACATGTATAAATGTCAAATAGGTATATGAAAAGTTGCTCAATATCATTGATCATGACAGAAATTGAAATCAAAACTACAAAAATACATCATCTTACCCCATTAAAATGGCTTTTATGCAAAAGACAGGCAATAACAAATGCTTTCAAGAATGTGGGGAAAAGGGAACACTCTTACTCTGTTGGTGGGAATGTAAATTAATATATTCACTATGGAGAACAGTATGGAGGTCCCTCAAAAAATTAAAAATAGAACTATCATATGATCCAGCAATCCCACTGCTGGGTATATACCCAAGAGAGGGAAAATTAGTATATCAAAGAGATATCTGCATTCCCATATTTATTTCAGCACTATTCATAATAGCCAAGATTTGGAAGCAACCTAAGTGTGCATCAACAGATGAAGGGATAAAGAAAATGTAGTACATATACACAATGGAGTACTCTTCGGCCATGAAAAAGAATAAGATTCTGTCATTTGCAACAACATGGATGGAACTAGAGGACATTATGTTAAGTACAATGAGCCAGGCACAGAAAGACAGACTTCGCATGTTCTCACTCATTTGTGGGAGCTAAAAATTAAAACAATTGAACTCATCAAGATAGAGAGTAGACTGAGAGTTTCCAGAGGCTGGGAAGAGTAGCGGTGTTATGGGATCTTTGGGGTGTTACTTTTCTAGACCGAAACCTCTATGACTGGTGGCACCTTTGCCTGAGTTTTGCTGGGCCCCACACACTCAGCCTGGCAGGCTGTGCTCTGCTCATGCTACCACGTTGGATCCCATGCCTGCCAAGGGAGACTGCATGGAGTGGCAAGGGGTGTGTGAGTGAGCATGGGGTCTGGCCACTGTGCAGTCAGATTTGCTGGCTGCTGAAGTGGAGCAGGTAGCTCCAGGTGCCAACACAGGCGCCAGCTCTCCACAAGGCTCTGGCTGGACCACGGGCACCTCAAGAAGCTTCCACAGCTGGCACACTGGGAACACAGTGGCACCCAGAAGCTTGGAGATATCAGGAACCAAAGGCCCCAAAGAAGGAATCACAGCTCTGGCTCGGGGAGCTCCCAGGTCTGGGCTCCCCAAAGGGCCATAGCTCTTCTTTCCTTCTCTTTGCCCACAATGTGGCGAGCAAGGGGCATGTCTCAGCCCTGTTTGTGTTACAGCTGTTTCAGCCTCTTCCCTAGGATTTGTCATAATTAATTCCCATATCGTCTATTTTTTTACATGTGTTTCAACTTCAGAAGATGTATGGATCTAAACACAACATGATGTGTTAGCTAGCTGCCATATGAGTTTCTCCCTGTTTCACCACTATGTAGCCTAAAGTTATTCCGTAATCCATGACTATCCTGGCTAAAGAGTCTGAAGATCTTTATTTGGTAGCTATGGCTTCAGCTAGTTCATTTGCTAAGTTACCTAGAGTGGTTGACAGATTTCTAATTATACGTTCATGAGAGGTTACTCCCCACCATGGCAAGAGATTTCTGCCAAACATAGGCCAAAATTCATCTCCTTGGTTTGCAGGTATGGTTTGTCTAATCCTGGAAAATAATTTCGATGAACTACTTCAGCGTTCAGAAACATTGGAGTTATAAATAGGAAGAGGAAGAGCCACATAACCTAATAGACAATTACCTCTCATATGCCAGCGGTCAATACATTCATAAGCCCATGTGTGCTTGATCCAGGGACCACACAGGGTCCCTGACGGATTCTGAAATTTAAGGCTTTCGTTTACTGGTAACAGAGACAGGTTAAAGTACATGTCTTCAGTCTTGAGTAGAGTGTAATCAGTCTGATTTCTTTTTTTTTTTTTAATGAGACAAACATCAGGTAAAGACCTTGACAAGAAGGAAGAGAAATCCCGAGATTCTATAATCACAATAATCGAATTGTAATTGCTAGTTTAAGTAGTCCTTCAAAAATACATCTCATTCCTGACAGGATAAAACAAGTTTTTTTAAAAATATATTTTATCTGGGTTCACTAGGGAACACTTGGACCCAGGAAATAATTCAGGATTCAGCCCAAATTATAGGCAAATAATAAAAACTCGGAAAAGAATGATCAGGGCTGGAATCTAATAGCATATGTCACAGTTTTCATTTGAAACATGAATTTTCTCTCTCTAGTCCATCATTTTATCAAAGACAAACCATAGTAGGACAAATTTCTGTGCAAAATAAGTTTTAGTCTTATCATACCTGGTCTGATTATTTGCATAAAGTGCAGCAAGAATATTTATTGACCATATAGGCTTCTTAAAATTGGCTTTGTTGGAACTTTCTAATAAGGAATCTTAGATTTTTAAAAGCCTTGAGGCTAGCCAAGTCAAAGATTTGCATCATACTGAGTCTGTAATACTTTTTTTAACCTACTTTTTTATTATACTTTAAGTTGTGGGGTACACGTGCAGAATGCTGAGGTTTGTTACATAGGTATACATGTGCTGTGGTGGTTTGCTGCACCCATCAACCCATCACCTATATTAGGTATTTGTCCTAATGCTATCCCTCCCCCCGCCCCCAACCCCCAACACGCCCCAGTGTGTGATGTTCCCCTCCCTGTGTCCTTGTGTTCTCGTTGTTCAACTCCCACTTATGAGTGAGAACATGTGGTGTTTTGTTTTCTATTCTTGTGTTAGTTTGCTGAGAATGACGGTTTCCAGCTTCATCCATGTCCCTACAAAGGACATGAACTCATCCTTTTTTATGGCTGCATAGTATTCCATGGTGTATATGTGCCACATTTTCTTTATCCAGTCTATAATTGATGGGCATTTGGGTTGGTTCCAAGTCTTTGTTATTGTGAACAGTCCTGCAATAAACATACGTGTGCATGTGTCTTTATGGTAGAATGATTTATAATCCTTTGGGTATATACCCAGTAATGGGATTGCTGGGCCAAATGACATTTCTAGTTCTAGATCCTTGAGGAATAGCCACACTGTCTTCCACAATGGTTGAACTAATTTACACTCCCACCAACAGTGTAAAAGCAATCCTATTTCTCCGCATCCTCTCCAGTATCTTTTGTTTCCTGACTTTTTAATGATTGCCATTCTAACTGGCATGAGATGGCATCTCATTGTGGTTTTGATTTGCATTTCTCTAATGACTAGTGATGATGAGCTTTTTTTCATATGTTTGTTGGTTGCATAATTGTCCTCTTTTAAGAAGTGTCTGTTCACATCCTTTGCCCACTTTTTGATGGGATTGTTCTTTCTTGTAAATTTGTTTAAGTTCTTTGTAGATTCTGGATATTAGGCCTTTGTCAGATGGATAGATTGCAAAAATTTTCTCCCATTTCGTAGGTTGCCCTTTCACTCTCATAGTTTCTTTTGCTGTCCAGAAACTCTTTAGTTTAATTAGGTCCCATTTTTCAATTTTGGTTTTTGTTGCCATTGTTTTTCGTGTTTTAGTCATGAAGTCTTTGCCCATGCCTATGTCCTGAATGGTATTGCCTAGGTTTTCCTCTAGGGTTTTTACGGCTTTAGGTATTAGATTTAAGTCTTTAATTCATCTTGAGTTAATTTTTATATAAGGTGTAAGGAAGGGATCCAGTTTCAGCTTTCTGCCTAAGGCTAGCCAGTTTTCTCAACACCATTTATTAAATAGGGAATCCTTTCCCCAGTGCTTGTTTTTCTCAGGTTTGTCAAAGATCAGATGGTTGTAGATATGTGGTGTTATTTCTGAGGGTTCGGTTCTGTTCCTTTGATCTATATATCTGTTTTGGTACCAGTACCATGCTCTTTTGTTTATCGTAGCCTTGTAGTATAGTTTGAAGTCAGGTAGCATGATGCTTGAAGCTTTGTTCTTTTTGCTTAGGATTGTCTTGGCTATTCGGGCTCTTTTTGATTCCATATGAAATTTAAAATATATTTTTCCAATTCTGTGGAGAAAGTCAATAGAGTTTAATGGGGATAGCAGTGAATCTATAAATTACTTTGGGTAGTATGGCCATTTTCACGATATTGATTCTTCCTATTGATGAGCATGGAATGTTTTTTCATTTGTTTTTGTCCTCTCTTGTTTCCTTGAGGAGTGGTTTATAGTTCTCCTTGAAGAGGTCCTTCACATCCTTGTAAGTTGTATTCCTAGGTATTTCATTCTTGTTGTAGCAATGGAGAATGGGAGTTCACTCATAGTTTGGCTCTCTGTTTGTCTGTTATTGGTGTATAAGAAAGCTTGTGATTTTTGCACATTAATTTTTTATCCTAAAACTTTGCTGAAGTTGCTTATCAGCTTAAGGAGATTTTGGGCTGAGACGATGGGGTTTTCTAAATATATAATCATGTCATCTGCAAACAGAGACAATTTGACTTCTTCTTTTCCTAATTGAACACCATGTATTTCTTTCTCTTGCCTGATTATCCTGGCCAGAACTTCCAACACTATGTGGAATAGGAGTAGTGAGAGAGGGCATCCTTGTCTTGTGCTGATTTTCAAAGGGAATGCTTCCAGTTTTTGCACATTCAGTATGTTATTGGCTGTGGGTTTGCCATAAATAGCACTTCATATTTTGAGATACGTTCCATCAATACCAGTTTATTGAGAGTTTTTAGCATGAAGGGCTGTTGAATTTTGTCAAAGGCCTTTTCTGCATCTATTGAGATAATCATGTAGTTTTTGTCATTGATTCCGTTTATGTGATGGATTACATTTATTGATTTGCATGTTGAACCAGCCTTGCATCCCAGGGATGAAGCCAACTTGGTCATGGTGGACAAGCTTTTTGATATGCTGCTGGATTCAATTTTCCAGTATTTTATTCAGGATTTCTGCATTGATGTTCATCAGGGATATTGGCCTAAAATTTCCTTTTTTTTGTTGTGTTGGCCTCATAAAATGAGTTAGGGAGGATTCTCTTTTTCTATTGTTTGGAATAGTTTCAGAAGGAATGGTACCAGCTCCTCTTTGTACCTCTGGTAGAATCTGGCTGTGAATCCGTCTGGTCCTGGACTTTTTTTGGTTGGTAGGCTATAGATTAATGCCTCAATTTCAGAACTTGTTATTGGTCTATTCAGGAATTTGACTTCTTCCTGGTTTAGTCTTGGTAGTATTCTCTGATGATAATTTGTATTTCTGTGGGATCAGTGGTGATATCCCCTTAATCATTTTTTATTGCATCTATTTGATTCTTCTGTCTTTTCTTCTTTATTAGTCTGGCTAGTGGTCTGTTTTGTTGATCTTTTCAAAAAACCAGCTCCTGGATTCATTGATTTTTTGAAGGGTTTTTCATGTCTCTATCTCGTTCAATTCTGCTCTGATCTTATTTATGTCTTGTCATCTGCTAGCTTTTGAATTTGTTTGTTCTTTCTTCTCTAGTTCTTTTAATTTTGATGTTAAGGTGTCAATTTTAGATCTTTCCTGTTTTCTCTTGTGGGCATTTAGTGCTATAAATTTCCCTCTACACACTGCTTTAAATGTGTCCCAGAGATTCTGGTACGTTGTGTCTTTGTTCTCATTGGTTTTGAAGAACATCTTTATTTCTGCCTTCATTTCGTTATTTACCCAGTAGTCATTCAGGAGCAGGTTGCCCAGTTTCCATGTAGTTGTGAGGTTTTGAGTGAGTTTCTTAATCCTGCATACTAATTTGAATGCATTGTGGTCTGAGAGACTGTTTGTTATGATTTCCATTCTTTTGCATTTCCTGAGGAGTGTTTTACTTCCAATTATGTGGTCAATTTTAGAATAAGTACAATGCGGTGCTGAGAAGAATGTACATTCTGTTGATTTGGGGTGGAGAGTTCTGTAGATATCTTTTAGGTCCACTTGGTCCAGAGCTGAGTTCAAGTCCTGGATATTCTTGTTAATTTTCTGTCTCATCTATCTAATATTGACAGTGGAGTGTTAAAGTCTTCCACTATTATTGTGTGGGAGCCTAAGTCTCTTTGTAGGTCTTTAAGAACTTGCTTTATGAATCTGAGTGCTCCTGTATTGGGTGCATATATGTCTAGGATAGTTAGCTCTTCTTGTTGCATTGATCCCTTTACCATTATGTAATGCCCTTCTTTGTCTCTTTTTATCTTTGTTGGCTTAAGATCTGTTTTATCAGAAACTAGGATTGCAACCCCTGCCTTTTGTTGCTTTCCACTTGCTTGGTAAATGTTTCTTCATCCCTTTATTTTGAGCCTATGTGTATGAGATGGGTCTCCTGAATACAACACATTGATGGGTCTTGACTCTTTATCCAATTTGCCAAACTGTGTCTTTCAACTGGGGACATTTAGCTCATTTACATTTAAGGTTAATATTGTTATGTGTGAATTTGATCCTGTCATTATGATACTAGCTGGTTATTTTGCTCATTAGTTGATGCAGTTTTTTCATTGTGTCAATGGTCTTTATAATTTGGTATGTTTTTGCAGTAGCTGTTACCAGTTGTTCCTTTCCGTGTTTAGTGCTTCCTTCAGGAGCTCTTGTAAGGCAGTCCTGGTGGTGACAAAATCTCTCAGCATTTGCTTGTAAAGGATTTTATTTCTCCTTCAATTATGAAGCTTAGTTTGGCTGGATATGAAATTCTGGCTTGAAAATTCTTTTCTTTAGGAATGTCGTATATTGGCCCCCACTCTCTTCTGGCTTGTAGGCTATCTGCCAAGAGATCCACTGTTAGTCTGATGGGCTTCCCTTTGTTTGTAACTCAACCTTTCTCTCTGGCTGCCCTTAATATTTTTTTCCTTCATTTCCACCTTGGTGAATCTGATGATTTTGTGTCTTGGGGTTGCTCTTCTTCAGGAGTATCTTAGTGGTGTTCTCTGTATTTCCTGAATTTGAATGTTGGCCTGTCTTGCTAGGTTAGGGAAGTTCTCCTGGATAATATCCTTAAGAGTTTTTTCCAACTTGGTTCCATTCTTTCTGTCACTTTCAGGTACACCAATCAAACGTAGATTCAGTATTTTAACATAGTCCTCTATTTCTCGGAGGCTTTGTTCATTTCTTTTCACTCTTTTTTCTCTAATCTTGTCTTCTTGCTTTATTTCATTGAGTTGATCTTCAATCTCTGATATCCTTTCTCCTGATTGATTGATTCAGCTATTGATACTTGTGTATGCTTCATGAAGTTCTTGTGCTGGGTTTTTCAGCTCCATCAGGTCATTTATATTCTTCTCTAAACTGGTTATTCTAGTTAACAATTCGTCTAACCTTTATTTTTCAGGCTCTTAGCTTCCTTGCATTGGGTTAGAACATGCTCCTTTAGCTCGGAGGAGTTTGTTATTACCTGCCTTCTGAAGCCTACTTCTGTCAATTCGTCAAACTCATTGTCTGTCCAGTTTTGTTCCCTTGCTGGCGGGGAGTTGTGATCTTCTGGAGGAGAAGAGGCATTCTGACTTTTGGAGTTTTCATCATTTTTGCACTGGTTTCTCCCCATCTTTGTGGATTTATTTACCTTTGGTCTTTGATGTTGGTGATGTCGATACTATTCCTTTCTGTTTGTTAATTTTCCTTCTAACAGTCAGGTCCCTCTGCTGCAGGTTTGCTCGAGTTTGCTGGAGGTCCACTCCAGACCCTGTTTGCCTGGGTATCACCAGTGGAGGCTCAGTTGGAAATGCATGAACCACCTGACTTCTGTGTTGTTCTCATTGGGTGCTGCAGGCCAGAGCTGTTCCTATTCAGACATCTTGCCAGCTCTCCTGTAATACTTTAATGAATGGGTGTAGTCCTCTCTTCTCAAGGTCCCCAAATATCTTGAGGTTCCTGGCCCATCAGAAAGTGACATTCTTTATTTCTTACCACAAGAATAGCAACTTTGTAAAGGACCTTTGTATACAGGACATCAAGCCAGTCATTCTAAGGGGCTTTGTATTGGTGCTATAAAGTCAACCTCAATTCCTTAAAGTGGTCTGGTTGTATCTGCCTTTCGAGTTAAAGCCTTGAAAAAACAGTGTCTCCAATTGAATCTTTTTACCAAAAACAGATTCTTATTGAAATTATGCAAATAATTATATTGCCATAATATAAGAATGCTCACGAATGGCTTCTGAATTCTGGAGAAATCACCTAGAGAGACAGATAAATGGGTCAAATTTTTGTTCACAATGTAGTTTATCTAATGTATTGTAAGTTAAAAATAGCTGAAAAGAAAAAAATTCTTGACTTTGGAAAACAAAACATAAAGAGGATCAACAATGTTTCTAATGGAAGGGCCATGGATAAAATCTTTTCCTTCTTTTATAAGTTCAGTCCCATGTAACTAAATCTTGTTCTGCTTGATTTCAAATAGCAATTCTCATTCAGGTTTTTGTGTTTTGCTTGATTTCAATTAGAAATTCTCATTCAGCTTTTTAGAGTCCTGGAAGATTTTCCTAGTCCAATGGTTTGATCCACAAAGTTATCTGAAACCATATTTAAGAGAACTTGTCAGAATCCTTTCCATTAAAAGTAATTTAGATGATAGCTGATTGTAAAGGCTTTTTTTTTTGAGACACGGTCTGGCTCTATCACTCAGGATGGAGTGCAGTGGCATGATCTTGGTTCACTGCAATCTCTCCCTCCCAAACTCAAGCCATCCTCCTACCTCACCCTCCGAAGTAGCTGGGACCATAGGCATGCACCATCATGCCTGGCTAATTTTTGTATTTTTGTAGAGACAGGATTTTACCATGTTGCCTAGGCTGCTTTCAAACTTCTTAGTTTAAGCAATTCACCCACCTCAGCCTTGCAAAGTGCTGGGATATTTACACGCCTGAGCCACCATGCCCTGCACCATGCCCAGCACCATGCCCTGCATGGCCTCCAGCACCGTGCCCGGCCTGTAAAGGGTTTTAGAGAAGAACTTTAATCAATCAACGTGGATGACAAAAACTTAGAATAGCCGTTGGTTAAAATCCAGTGGAAGTTCTCAAATCTCGAGAAAATTTAGTTATTTGTATTATATGTAGCATTTTAAGATAACAGCCAGAATCATGACTGATGGCAACGCATCAGATCCATCAGACTTCCACAAATTTTATATAATCTTTAGAATATTTATATTATTAATATATCTATACACATACAACTTTAGAAAATATTTAACATCATCAAAATTATGACTGAAACCCTATTAGATTTTTATAATTTATATAACTTTTAAAATATTTATATTAATAACATACCTATAAAAGTAACCAAAAGAAGATTTAAGCTGGGCACAGTGGCTCATGCCTGTAATCCCAACACTTTGGGAGGCCAAGTTAGACAGATCATCAGAGGTCAGGAGTTCGACAACTGCCTGGCCAACATGGAGAAATCTTGTCTCTACTAAAAATACAAAATTAGCCGGGCATGGTGGCACGTGTCTGTAGTCCCAGCTACTTGGGAGGTTGAGGCAGAAGGATTGCTTGAACCTTGGGGCAGAATTTGCAGTGAACCTAGATCATGCCACAGCACTCCAGCCTGGGTGACAAAGCAAGATTCTGTCTCAGAGAAAAAAAAAAGAAGATTTAGTGTTACTTATCTTTTGGCAATGCTTCCCATACAATGTTATCAACTAAGTTTTAGCAAAGTTGTCAAAAAATTGAAAACATTTGACCAAAACGGAATGGCAGTTTATTGTTTTTTATTTTATTATTTTTTTGAGACAGGGTCTCACCCTGTTGCCCAGGCTGGAGTGCAGTGGTGAAATCATGGCTCACTGCAGCCTCAATCTCCCAGGTTCAGTTGATCCTCCACCTTAGTCTCCCAAGTAGCCAGGACTATGAGCACTTGCTACCACACCTAGCTAGCTTTTGTATTTTTAGTAGATATGGGGTTTTGCCATTTTGCCCAGGCTGGACTTGAACTCCTGGGCTCAAGTGATCCACCCACCTTGGCCTCCCAAAGGGCTGGAATTACAGACAAGAGCCGCTGCACACAGCCACATGTCATTTTAAAATAACATTCATTTAATTAGCATGACAACCAAAAGACATCAAAAGCAACATAGAAGGTTACATGGATGTGAAAACTGAAAACCCTCAGTTTTCCCAAGTAATTAAAAAAACAATAAAGGCAACACATGGATTATCTTGATAAAACCTAAAATCTTTATTACAGGCCAGTCATTTAAAGGGTAAAAGCTCCTGTGGCATAATTGTGTCTTCTTATAGGAAGCTAATTTAAATCACTTGGAAGTCAAACCGATGACAAGGAGACTTGAATTTAATTACACATAGAAAGAGTGTGTCCAGGGTCATGAGTGAGCATAATATTACAGAGGAATGTAAACAGGAAAACCAGAGCATAGAGAAGTGGGGATCCATAGCTCACAATGATAGCATGGAAGTTTCCTGCTGTATCCTGGTTACATGAAGTAATTAAGACATATTTAAAAGCCAAGAGTACAAAATTAGACCTGATGAAAAAGCTGAAGGAGTTATCATCCCAGCCAAGCAGGAAACCCAAGCCTTTTATTCCTTCTCAAGAAGAAACAGAAGACAATGATGTGATCTGTGAGTCATGTGTAACATGAAAGTACAGGAAACGTTGAACTTCTGATATACAAATCTGAAAAGATTTTATAGTAACAGATATCAGGATTAAAAGTCAATATTTATTACCTCTTATTATGAGCAAATAAATGCATTAAGAAAACCTTGTTGTTTTAACCAAAATTTTTTGTTTTTTATCACTATGTTTTTAATATTACAGCTAATTTAAATAAACTTTATAAACAATCTATCTGATCTCAATCAGTTTTGACCTCGAGGTAAGATTTACATAAACTTTTAATAACCTTGTATAATTTTTTCCATCTTTCCCAACTTTTTATACACATTTAATTTTATCTATCTTTTTTATTCCTTCAATTTAAAATAATCCTTAAAAATCTCTAAGCGAATTTACTTTCTCTGAAACAAAAACCCGTATACATTTTGCATACAGAATTGTTTCTCTTGTATCTAGTAGTCTTAATCACATATATCTACCAAGATATTAACACTTAGTAACCCTTATTTTAATAAAAAACTTAGGAAGAAAGAAATCTTGAATTGTCATATAGCAGTATCTTACATATGAGAATGATTTCATAATTTAGAATTATGTGTTCCTAAAACATATTTTTTAAGGTGGATTTTTGTTCTTGTTGCCCAGGCTGGAGTGCAATGGTGTGATCTCAGCTCACTGCAACCTCCGCCCCCCAGGTTCAAGCAATTCTCCTGCTTCAGCCTCTCGAGTAGCTGGGATTACAGGAACCCACAACCACACCTGGCTAATTATTTGTATTTTTTAGTAGAGATGGGGTTTCACCATGTTGATCAGGCTGGTCTTGAGCTCCTGACCTCGGGTGAGCCACCCGCCTTGGCCTTCCAAAGTGTTGGGATTACAGGCGTGAGCCATAGTGCCTGGGCTAAAACATAAGTTTTAAATTGGAAATAACCCAGATATTTAATGAGTATCTATTATTTAATTTAACATAACTAAAATTTCAAAAATAGGCTGGGCATGGTGGCTCACACCTGTAATCCCAACACTTTAGGAGGCCAAGGCAGGAGTATCGTGAGACCAGCCTGAGCAAATAGCGAGATGCTGACTCTACAAAAAAAATAAAAGTTAGCTGACCATGGTGTTGCATGCCTGTAATTAACAGCTTCTTGGGAGGTTGAGGTGGGAGGATCCCTTGAGTGCAGGATGTCAAGGTTGCAATGAGCTGTGATCATGCCACTGCACTTCAGCCTGGGTGACAGGCAGAGACATTGGCTCAAAAAAATTTCAAAAATACATTAAAATGTCTTGTATAGACATTTATCCATTTACATTTACTTATTTTTGACAGTTTATCTAGAGTATTTGTGAGAACTGAGGTATTAGACAAAGCTAGTCATCATTTCTAGGTTATTTTCTTGTTAACCATGTTATAGCCTGTGAATATCAGGTGTTCACATAAGTGAGGATTTCAAAGTTAAATACAAGGGTATTTTACCAATAACTCAGAAAATTCCATTATTTTTGTTCAACAAACCGTATTACATTGGTCTTATGTATTTAAAAAATCACATAAACAAATATTCTTTTTTTCCTGTGTTTATAGCTTTATATCCTTCATGCCAAACCCTAGCACCTTAAAATATCTAGCAAATGTAAATATAAAACACAGTCAAAAATGTATGCTGACAATTCTGAAGACATTTCTATTTTTATTTTATCAATACTTTTTAAATTATTTGCATTATAAAAGAACTCTTTTGTCTGGGCACAGTGGTTCATGCCTGTATCCCAGCACTTTGAGAGGCTGAGGCAAGAGGATCACTTGAGCTCAGGAGTTTGAGACCAGCCTGGGCAACAGAGTGAGATCCAATCTCTACTAAGAATAAGATAAAAAATTGCCAGGCGTGGTGGTGAATGCCTATTGTCCCAGCTACTAGAGAGGATGAGGCAGGAGGATTGCTTGAGCCTGGGAGGTTGAGATAACAGTGAGCTATGATCCCACTACTGCACTCCGGTCTGGGGAACAGAGTAAGACCTTAGAGTAAGACCTTGTCTCAAAAAGAGAAAAAAATAAAAAATGGTTTCATTCTTTTGTTTTTCTTCAGCCAAGTAACCTTGAATTGGTAACACCACAGACAGTAAGTCTTATCTCAACACCAGTAGGCAAATCAGCAGATTCAAAGTAGGCAGGGAAAAAAAAAGATAGGCAAAAGAACTGAGAATTTTTCATTTTAGGGTTTTTTAAAATAGTAACTATTTGAGTTCTGAATTTTCTTTCATGTAATTTGGCCATCAGGTTTAAAGTGTGCACTAGAGACCAGGTGAAGTGGCTCATTCATGTAATCCCAACACTATGGGAGGCTGAGGCAGGTGGATCACTTGAGGCCAGGAGTTTGAGACCAGCCTGGCCAACGTGACAAAACCCCATCTCTACTGAAAATACAAAAATTAACTGGGTGTGGTGGTGTGCACCTGTAGTCCTAGCTATTCAGGAGGCTGAGGCAGGATAATCGCTCAAATCTGGGAGGTGGAGGTTGCAGTGAGCCGCGATTGTACCACCATACTCCATCCTGGGCAACAGAGCAAGACTGTGTGTCAAAAAGAAAAAGAAAAAAAATATAAATATAAATATAAATATAAATATAAATATAAATATATATAGGCTGGGCACAGTGGCTCATGCCTGTAATCCCAGCAGTTTGGGAGGCCAAGGTGGGTGGATCACTTGAAATCAGGAGTTTGAGACCAGCCTGGTAAACATAGTGAAACCTCATCTCTACTAAAACCACAAAAATTAGCCGGGTATGTTGGCGTACACCTGTAATCGCAGCTACTCAGGAGGCTGAGACAGGAGAATTGCTCGAACCTGGGAAGTGGAGATTGCAGTGAGCCAAGAGCGCACCACTGCACTCCAGCGTGGGCAACAGAGCAAGACTCTGTCTCAAAAAAGTGTGTGTGTGTGTGTGTGTGTGTGTGGCTAGAATGGTCCATAATATATAGCCAGCTCGAGTCCCAGAAAACCTAGCAAGCTTAAGGTTAGAGCTTCTCATTTTGGCCTTTTCAAGATTAAATCTCCTTTAGTAAGCCCTTCCCCTCCAGGGAGGTACTTGCCGGAGCGCTGCCTGAAGTTGTTTTTCTGATGCCCTGTTGTTCCTGTTCTGAATCGTTTATTTCTCATTATAAGAGCTCAGCAAAGCAGGCAGAGTTAAAAAGCAGAGACATGAAGGCTTTAAAATCATGGACTTCACTCCTACACTGAATCTCAGGTCCCCGGAAAGACAGAAACACCATGGGACCACAGCAAAGGCAGAAGGAGGAGTGAGAGACGGAGGTGGACAGAACAACAAACAGGAGTTGGCTCTCAATTTTTCACGTGTGCCATTTTCTTTAGGTTTTTCTAGTTTATTGAGTCTCTTTGTTCCAGTTGAGCACACAGATAAACTAGAAATCTCACAAGGCTTTTGCTGAGAACATCAAAGCCTTTAACCTCTGTTGGGCCAAATATTTAGACCAAAAATACAGATAGACACACAAAAGCCAGAACCAGACCAGATTGAGTAGCTCAGTAGCTACAGCCTTTATTCCCTTTATTCTTTAGGGTTTGAACTCAAACCAGGTTCAGGATTCTAACCCAACCAGGACTCCCCTGGGGTGAAACTGAAACCCCCAGTCTAGACAAGGTTGGGGGTCTTTTTTTATTTTTTATTTTTTTGAGATGGAGTTTCACTCTTGTTGCCCAGGCTGGAGTGCAATGGTGCAATATTGCCTCACAGCAACCTCCGCCTCTCAGGTTTAAGCACTTATCCTGCCTCAGCCTCCAAAGCTGAGATTACAGGCTTGTGCCACCATGCCCAGCACATTTGGCATTTTTAGTAGAGACGGGGTTTCTCCATGTTGGTCAGGCTGGTCTCAAACTCCCAACCTCGGGTGATCCGCACACCTAAGCCTCCCAAAGTGTTGACATTACAGGCATGAGCCACCGCACCCGGCCTGCTTGTTCTTTTCATTTCATCCTGATCTCCGAATACAGGAGAGTAGCTGATTTGGTGTTCACTAACAAGCACAGAAGCTTTGTTACATTTACAGTGTCATTCTTGGCAAAACCTGAAGTTTTGCCTCCCGGGTTCATGCCATTCTCCTGCCTCAGCCTCCTGAGTAGCTGGGACTATAGGCGCCCGCCACCTCACCCAGCTAATTTTTTGTATTTTTATTAGAGATGGGGTTTCACCGTGTTAGCCAGGATGGTCTCGATCTCCTGACCTTGTGATCCGCCCACCTCGGTCTCCCAGAGTGCTGGGATTACAGGCATGAGCCACCGCGCCCAGCCAGAAGCTCTAATTTCAATGATGATTGTGCTTTTTATCTCTTCCTCAGCATCTGACTCATGATAAAATTTCAGGTGTCTTGATGGTATCTAAATCAGTTGTTGATTCGGTCCTGGAGAAACTCAAGCATAATCTCTATGCCAAGTTATAATTTTACCTATTTCCCAACTTTTTGTTATTGGATCTCTCCACCAAACCAGTTGTTCTGCTTCTGTCTTTGCAGCTAGTTTCTGTAGATGCTGTTCAGCTGCTGGTAACATCTGGCCTTTGGACAGGCTCAAAAATTTGAAAGTTAATGATAGATTCATTTGTGTATGGGCTACCCGTAATCCCTGTTTCTCCCCCTTTTTTTGTTTTTATTATTAGTTGTTCATCTGTATGAAATCGTAACTGAGCATTTTCAATTCACTGTGTGGAATGAACCATGTATGAAGAATCAGAAATCACATTAACAGGCATATCAAAAGCAGTCAATACCTCAATTACAGATACAAGCTCCGCTTTTTGAGCTGAAGTATAGGGTGTCTGGAAAACTTTACCTTTTGATCCAGAATAAGAAGCTTTACCATTACTAGACCCATCTGTGAAACAACGAAAACGCTTAGCAGGCTGCAGGTTGTTTACTGCAGGAATTGTAAATGCAAACCTTTCACAGTCTTGCTCAGCTAAAAGGGTAGTAAAGTAACAGTCTTTTAAATCTGTGACTATTAAAGGCCAATTTTTTGGAATTATAGTAGGAGAAGGCAATCCTGGCTGTTATGTTTCCATAGGTTGTATAACTGAATTGATGGCTCTTAAGTCAGTTAACATTCTCCATTTACCTGATTTTTTCTTAATTATGAACACTGGAGAATTCCAAGGGGAAAATGTTGGAGCTATGTGCCCATTTTCTAATTGTTCAGTAACTAATTTCTCTAAAGCATCCAGTTTCTCTTTGCTTAGCAGCCATTATTCTATCCAAATTGGCTTATCTGTTAGCCATTTTAAAGGTATAGGTTCTGGAGGCTTAACAGTGGCCACCATCAAAAATGGTATCCTAATCTTTGGCAGGAACTTTGTCTTTCCGTTTGAAGCAGTTCTTTCAAACCTTGCAATTTTTTTCTACTCCTATACCAGGGACATGCCCCATTTCCTGCATCATATGTTGACTTTGAGGGCTGTATAATTGTTATGGAATTAGAACTTGTGCTCCCCATTGTCATAATAAATCTCTCCCCCATAAATTTATAGGTACTGAAGTTGCAATTGGTTGAACAGTCCCAGGTTGTCCATCGGGCCCTTCACAATGCAAAATATAGCTACTTTGATACACTTCTGGAGCTTTAGCAGTTTCCACTGTGTTAAATTGAGTGGGCTGAATTGGCCACATGGACAGCCAGTGCTGTAGAGAAATGATTGAAATGTCCACTACTACCAAAAAAAAAAAAAAAAAATAGTATCTACCAAACCTTTAAAGTTCTTTACATGGATAGTTATTTCACAGATAGGATGTTTATCAGTAATTTGATTTACCCAATAAGCTGCCTTGCCTTTTTTATTTGTGCTTCCAAATCCTCCAGTTCATTTAATTTCACTTTTTCCCATTCCCACATATGGCTCACTCAGGAGCTGTGCTATGCGCACTCCTGGCTGTGCTTTCCAGGGAACAGAAGTAGATATCACAATTTGAATTTCTTCATTGTAATCTGAATCAATGACTCCAGTGTGTATTTGTACCCCTTTTAAACTTAAACTAGACCTTCCTAAAAGTAATCCCATTGTCCCTTCTGGCAAGGGTCCACAGACTCCTGTTGGGACCTTTTGCGGGGGTTCCCCAGGCAGAAGGCTCACAGCTTTTGTGCAGCATAAATCTACTGCGGCACTATGGGCTATGGTGGGGGACAGATAATGTACAGGGGTGAGGGAATGGCCTGAGCTGGAAATGCCCTTGTTTAGAACAGGGCCTGGGATGGGCCCCTCAGGGAGTTTCCCAAAATCGGGTTCCCTTCTTTATCAAACTTAGAGTGACACTGATTAACCCAAAGTTTTCCTTTTTTACATTTTAGACATATTTCAGGATCAGCAGTTTTCTTTTTTCACCTATCTGGTGGCCTGACTTGCTGATTTTTTTTTACATTCTTTTTAGTATGACCATGCTTCCCACAGTTAAAACAAGCTCCAGGAAATAGAGTATTTCCTTTATCCACTCTCAGTCCTGCCATCGCCTGTGCCAACAAAGTAGCTTTATGTAGATTAGCTCTGATATCATCACAGGCCTTGTTATAATCAACTAAATGTGCTTTCCATCTGATAGGTCACAGAGCAGCCTGGCAATAGGGATTAGCATTGTCAAAACTAATAACTGCAACACTATATCCTAAGCAGCCAAATCTGCAATCATCTTTTTAAGAGACTCCTGTAACCAAGCTATAAAATGCACATATGGTTCTCTTGGTCCCTGTTTTATAGCACTAAATGAAGGGTATTGTTCTCCATATGAAGTGATTTTTTCAAAGCTCTAATGCACACTCCTCTAAGCTGTTCTATGGCATCATCCTGCTTGACCACTTGTGCATGTAAACCAGCCCAGCCACCAACCCCCAAAAGTTGGTCTGCAGTTATATTAATTTGAGGTTGGGCCCAGGCATTGCGAGCAGCCTGAATGGAAGCTTCATCTGCCCACTAAGTTTTAAATTGTAAGAACTGAGCAGGAGTTAGACAAGCTAGAGTAAGAGTGTCCCAGTCAGTAGGAATCATCCGACTGGAAATGGCAACATTCTTTAACGGTCCCATTTCAAAAGGAGAACCTGGTCCATACTGATTTATAGCTTGTTTAATTTTTTTGAGTAATTTAAAAAGAAAAGGCTCAAATGTAGCTATAATATTTCCCTGTTGATCTGGGGGGTGTATTCAAACAGGGAACTGCCAAACCTCTAAATCCCACTTTTGTCTAGCTTGCTGAATTCCTGCCTGAATAGAACTAAGCAGCCGCTCAAGGCGGTGCTCGAACAGTCACCAGGGCAACTACTTTTCACCCAGTGTCCTCCAGAAAAGAAAGATCTGGAGGGTCGTTTTCTTCAAAATAATAATGAGGGGGTGCAGAAGGGTAGGGATGAACCTCTCCCTCCTTTTCTGCTTTAGCTTTAGGTGGCAAATAAACCTGGTCTGTAACCTCTACTGTTACTTTGTTATACTCTCCTTCCTCCTCATTATCAGTGTGAAAAAGTTCCAAGGTAGAACGAACCACAGCCCACACTTGTCCCATTGTTACCCTGATGCTTCCGAGCTCCCCTTCTGACTCACCACGGGGATTGCTTTAAGAGTACTCGGATGTCCTCCAGCTAGTTCCACATTCTCCAATCGTTGCTCCAGCGATCCTTTGACCTGTATTCGAGCCCCCATGAATGGGCACTACTTGCTGAGACCAGGTCGGTTGGGGAGACCCTAACCCAGCAGCACTAGAGGAATTAAAGACACACACACTGAAATATAGAGGTGTGAAGTGGGAAATCAGGGGTCTCACAGCCTTCAGAGCTGAGAGCCCTGAACAGAGATTTACCCACGTATTTATTAACAGCAAGCCAGTCATTAGCATTGTTTCTATAGATATTAGATTAACTAAAAGTATCCCTTATTCTTAAGGCACAGATCACTCATGCTATTGTTTGTGGCTTAAGAATGCCTTTAAGTGGTTTTCCACCCTGGACGGGCCAGGTATTCCTTGTCCTCATTCTGGTAAACCCACAACCTTCCAGCGTGGGTGTTATGGCCATCAAGAACATGTCACAGTGCTGCAGAGATTTTGTTTATGGCCAGTTTTGGGGCCAGTTTATGGCCGGATTTGGGGGGGCTTGTTCCCAACATTTCCTCAGGGTAAGGGTGCCCTAACTCCTGTGGGGACCTTCTTTCGTGGCTCCCCAGGAAGTAAGGAGATGGGAATTGTGCTGTAGAGGTCTACAGCAGCACTGCTTGCTGAGGCGGGGGACAATTGCTGTACATTTGTAAGGGCAGTGGCTGTGCTGGGTATGCCTCAGTTTGTTGAGGGGCTTGAGGCGGGTCCCTCTTCCTATTTCCTCAAAGAGGTTGTCTATCTTTGCTAAATTTAGAATGACACGGACTTGCCTAGTGATTGCCTTTCTTACACCAGGGACATACACTGGGTCTTTTCTGTTGATTGATGGTAGTAGTTTTCGTCTTTTGAATTCCTTTCTACATTCCTTTCTTGTGTCCAATTTGCCCACAATTAAGGCAAGAGCCTGAGAAATGAAACATATTTTTTCTTACTCTTAATCTAGCCATAGCCTGAGCTAAAAGAATAGCCTTATGTAAGTTACCTCCAATGCCATCGCAAGACTTAATATATTTAGTTAAATGAGCCTTCTCTCTCAGATATCTAATAGCAGTTTGACACTCTGCATTAGCATTATTGTATGCAAGAAGCTGTATTACAACATCCTGAGCTGTTTTGATCATTTACGGCTTTATACACAGCCTCTTGGAGCTGAGCAATAGAATTAATATATGGTTCTTTAGGTCCTTGTCAGACAGAACTGAAATAAGGATACTTTTCCCCTGTAACATTTATCCTTTTCTATGCATGTAAGCACATGAAGCACAGCTGAACAATGGCAACATCTTCCATTACTGCTTGATTCTCTAATCAACCCCAGTTAGGGCCAACTCATATTAACTGATCAAAGAAAACAGGCACAGGTGGCTGCACGTGTGTGTTTTCTTTTGCCTGAGTTTGAGTTCATCAGCCTACCAAGTTTTAAACTGCAAGTACTGAGATGGAGTGAGAACAGGTTTTGTCAAAGTATCCTAATTATATAGTAGTAATCTTTTATCAAGAGCCATATTTTTTAATAAAGACTGCACAAAAAGACAGTTCAGTCCATATTGACTAATGGCGAGCTTAAATTCTTTAGTAACTTAGAAGAAAAAGCAGGCTAATTAGCTATATTCTGTCCTACTTGCTGGATTATAGTAACGGGAAATTGCCATGCTTCAAGGTCTCCCTTGGCTTTAGCTTTTTGAATAGAATTTTGTCTAGCACCACCAACTGCTCCAGGTTTTAATGTTGTAACTACAGGAGCAGTAAGTTTTTCAGCTAATTTATTTTCTCACCCATTTAGGGGAGAGAGAGGAGGTGGCCATTCACTTAATTCAGCAGGTGGAGCCAACGGGCTAGTAAAACATACTTTTTAAAGTTTTTCTTTCTTTTCTTTAATCTCCTCCAGTAGCTGCTCCTCACACTCAGAATTTGAAGTTAGTTTTTTACACATCATCCTCCTCTTCCTCATCTGAATCTGCCTCATCATCTGTTTGAAATGGCTCAAGGGCTGCCTTTATTAGTGCTCACACTGACCATATATAAACTGGAATTTCTGCTCCATCTTTATATGCCTATTAAAAATCTTTTCCAATTCTATCCCATTCATCCAACTTCATAGTCCTTTGTTCTGGAAACCATGGGCAAAACTGCTTTACTGTACTAAAGAGTGATAACAAATTCTAAGTACTAATTTTCACTCCCCATCTTTGTATGTCCTCGGGTGTCTTTTGATGATGTGTCCTCTGCTTTCATATGCTCTAGCCTTCCCTCACCGGGTCTTTGTCACCCCATGTTGGGCGCCAGGAATGTTGGGGTGATCAGACCCAACACTAGGTCATGGGGGTGATGAAGTCCGGCAGAGTCAAAGGAATGAGAAAAAGACAGTTTGAGAGAGAAAGTGGGACCAGGAGACCATCACGAGTATGGAGTCTGCAAAGTCCCCAAGCTCTGGGAGCCCACGCTATTTGTTGGTGCTCAAACAAAGAAACAGGTGGTGAGGATGTGGGGGTTGAAAGGAAATGGTGTATCAAGTGAATGAGAAACATATGGCCCTGCCTCAGCTTCTCTTCCAACACTCAGCTTTTCTCCCAACACATTCCCCTTATGAACAGGAATAAAATAGGGATGCCTGTTCTCTCCACTCCTGTTTAACAAGTCCTAGCCAGAGCAAGCAGGCAAGAGAAAGTGATAAAAAGCATCCAAATAGGAAATGAAGTCAAATTATCTCTCTTCACTGATGATATGATTCTACACCTAGAAATCCCTAAAGACTGTGCCAAAAGGCTCCTAGAACTGATTAAAAAAAAACTTCAGCAAACTTTCAGGATAAAAAAAAATCAACATATAAAAAGAAGTAGCATTTCTGTTCACCAAAAATGTTTAAACTGAAAGGTAAATCAAGAGTGCAATCCTGTTTACAACAGCAACCCCCAAAATAAAATAAAATAAAATAATATGTCTAACCAAGGAGGTAAAGGATATCTAAAACGAGAACTACAAAACACTGCAGAAAGAAATCATAGATGTCGAAAAAAATGGAAAACCATTCCATGCTCATGGATTAGAAAGATCAATATTGTTAAAATGGCTATACTGCCAAAAGCAATCTACACATTCAACACTATTCCTATGAAACAACCAATGTCGTTTTTCACAGAATTAGAAAAAAAAATATTCTAAATTTCATATGGATTTTTAAAGAGCCCAGACAACCAAAGGAAATCTAAGCAAGAAGAACAAAGCTGGAGACATCACATTACTTGACTTCATACTATACCCTAAGGCCACAGTAGACAAAATAACATGGTACTGATATGAAAACAGACACAAAGACCAATGAAACAGAATAGAGAACCCCAAAATAAACACATGCACCTACAGCCATCAGCTTTCCCAGGATAACACAAAGAGAGCCAAGTGGCACCTGCACATTACACTGTGGAAGAAAAACCCAAGCTCAAGAAACCCCAACTTGTGTTATTGGAAGTTCAATTGGCTGTATGCTTCCCAAGAGGGAGAAATTATCTGCATTATACTAGACAGTAAATAAACTTTTCCTTTGTTCCAGAAGGAGGTACTGGTTTTCTATTCCAAGGCTGTTTTCTATACAAACATGCTTGAAAACAATCATTTGGAACAATAAATTCAGCTTCCATACTTGCAAAATGTGTGGAAATTAAAGACCCAAAAATTGTTTCTCTACCAATTTTTATTTTTAAAAATCAAATTTTCCCCATATAATATGCTTTTAATATGTGATCTTTTTCTGAAATTGTCGGAGCATTTACCCCCATTTCTGCGTCCAGAAGGATACAATAGATTTAATTTAATTTAGTAACACTTCAAATAGTAGTGATTGTAATAGCAGAGCTAGTTTGTAGCATAAAGAAAAAATAATAATATTATTAGGTGACACTTACAAATAATGCTAGTCACCATTTCTAAGTGTCATGGTAAGTACAGTGATTATTTTCTTTCTTTCTGACTCTTTTTTACTTTATTTTTTGTTTTTTTCCATAGGTTATTGGGGTATGGTGGTATTTGTTTCCATGGGTAAGTTATTTACTGGAGATTTGTGAGATTTGGGTGCACCCATCACCCGAGCAGTGTACACTGCACCCTATTTGTAATCTTTTATCCCTCGCCCCCCTCCCTATTAAATAATAGACCAAAAATAATGGGTTTAGAATAAATGAGTTCAAATGAATTGTCAAACGTATGTGGGAAAAGTGGAATCAGTTTTTGAGAAAAAGCAAAAAACTCAACAGAAATGCTGATAAAGCATCATCCCTTCATGGCTAGAGCTGCCAGGACCCCAGAACACCAAAATCAGCTAGGGAAATTTTGTAGAAGTCCCAGATGTACTAAATGTTCTGTGAATACACAGAGATATAATTATAACTGTTACCTGCACGTAGAGTAAAGATGAGAAGGCATTGGTCATGGTGGCAGCTACCTCAGGAGTTACAAAGCAGACGTGGTTCCAGGACAGTATATGTCAGGGCAAAGCTGTCCTCGGAGGCTATTAGGAGTTGGTTACGGCACAGACATTGTGAGTCAGATGGTCTCATTACTTTCAATGACAAAACCAAAATTACTTTTGCATCAGCCAATACAACGGCCTGGCCAGAGCAGAGAAGAAGTCCCTGTGGCTGTTAGGTGGGGACCTCTGATGCAGCACAATTCCTTCATCCCCTTCTCCAAAACCCCCTCTTCCAATTCCACTGAAGAGAGAATCTGATGGAAGTGCTGTGTAAGCAGGCTCAGATATATCTACCACTATAGATAGTAGAGGTGATTCATAAATCCAAGCCTATCAAATAGATCATAAATAAGTTACACGTTTAATTTTTTTTTGAAATTAGGGATCATGATATGAAAGTTATCAGAATCAAAACTGTCAATAATATTTAAAAAGAGAAGAAGAAACCTGAACAAATAGATTCAGAGAAGGCCTTGAAGAGAGGGTTCTCATGCTTCTAGGCCTGATAAAAACTATCACAAAATACCACAAAACCACCACCCTGCACAAAGGCCATAGCAACCTTACACAAAATACACTTCTGTGAGGACATCTATCCAGCAACCGCCTGCCCAAACTTCAACTGATATTGACCTTGTTGTTGATCTTTATAGTCAAAGGTAACTATATCAAAACTATTATAGAAGCCCCTTCATTTTTCCCTTATTTATTTTTTTCTACTCCCCCGTACTTCCAGGTTGATCATTTTTCTTTTAAAGACCTTGTCTTCCTTTACCATTTGAATCTATATAGTTTGCTTTGTCATGCATATTCCCATTGCAGTGCCTTCCTCCCTAAGATGTGTCTTTTTCCTTTAGAGAGCCTTTCTCTGTTTGTTATTTAGGTTTACAATGAGAAGGCACGTAAAGTATTTTTACTGTCTTCCTAGGAAAAAATCACTGACTTACAGTATTTATATTTATTTATTTACATTCCTGGGGATGAGGAATTAAAGATTTCACAAATTTTCTTATTGAGAAGATCCAAGTTTTCATGTAAGCAAAACTGAATATGTAAATTGATATGTAAATTATGCTGCAGATAATATGGTCAAATGTTTACTTGTATATAATTTGTTACACATGAATATTGCATATGTAAGATAATATACTAAGAAATTATCACATTTAATGAAATGCTTTAATCAAATTCCTGATTGAATTTTTGATATCAATATCTTTTTCATTGTTTAATCCATCTTTAGGGTGAACAGGGCTTTATAGGCCAAAGTTATGACTTCTATCTAAATTGTCTGAGTTACAGAACTTTTTGAATTTATTATGTTGTCACAGGAAGTTTCTTATTGCTTGTTTAAAGGAGTGTCTCTCAATATGATGCAGAATGCAAAAGCACTGAAGGGCATATATCCTGAGTTTCTATTACTGAAGCCAAAGGTTGCCAATTTCTTGTAGATCCTGCTAGAGTTAAACTTCATTTAAGTAATCATTAAAAGCTGAATTTATTCCCTCACTTGAAATTTTGATTTCACACTATTAGGACTAATCCTCTAAGTCTTTGCTAAGTTATGTTCCTCTTTTTCTTGTAGCTTGACTTTGATGATCTCTATATGCAACTTCAATTGACATAAATTAAAGTACATTCAGGGCAAGAGAGTTTCTTTAAATATTACTTTGTTATTCAAAATAATCACAAAAGCACTCATCGTAGGAAAACTTGTGAGGACTCAAATATAGGGAAATACTTTTTCTTTCTAAGGCACAATTCTCTAAAGAAGTTCACTTTAATTTGAATATACATGGGAAAATATCCTTGTTCACTAATAGTCTATATTCACTCTGTTTTCTTCCCTCATAGACCAGCCGGTTCACTATTATTCTCCAAATGATGTGTGCTTCTCTAGAGTCCAGGCTATCTGCATATCTAATTTTTCCCACAAATTACTGTTTTGAATTGCACTGAATTCAATTCAAGGGGATGTCATTTATAAACAGTGCAAATATATACTGCACGAGGGATCTTAGAAATCATACACATGGTTTGATCCATAAGCTCATATGAGCGTGCAATGTCAACTTTTTTCATGTTTTTATAAATCCACTTAAATTCTATTTTAAGCCATCATCTGCCTGTGCTGTTAGGGCAGTTAGCCTTCAATCATTTTAAGATGCTCCCCTCTAAGTACTGTGATAGTGATAGAGATATCACCAGTCAGGTGTCCTAGGAAGCCGACTCCGAGTTGGAGATTTGCATGCAAGGAGGTTGAAATGATATTCCCAACACCTGTGGAAGAGTGAAAGCAATAGGATTGGGTGGAGCAGGAAGTCGGCTGGAATGCAATCACTATCATGGCCGCAGTCCACTCTACAAGGATCTTGGTGAGTTTACCTAATGACCTCGAATTGGAGCAAGAAAACCAGGCCATTATATTTCTGTACCAAGCAGTTCTCGGATGTGGGATGCCTTGAGAAGGGACATGAACTTGGATGAAGGAACTTTACTGTGCTGTGAGTATTGTTGCCAGGAGTCAGCTGTCAACACTCCCAGGAGACGGGAAATTATGCTTTAGTCACTGAGGCGGCATGTAGTGTCAGACCACAGCCTTGTTAAACAGAGCCAGAATTTGGAGGATGGTTGGTGGGTTAAACATTTGGGGCTTGACATCTTGTCCCCACAAGCTGCTTCTGGCCTCTTCCTTGTCCATTTCTGTGTGACCTGTATAGGAGCCCCAGCTTCCTGCTTCTTCTTTACCATATTTGGAATGCAAAAATCTATACCTAATTTGGCCCATGGACCCTTCTGCTTAGACATATCCTTGTAGCTATTTTTTTTAAAAGATGACTATGCCTTCTAGAATATTTCTAAGAAACTGCCTAAGTCACCACTGCTCACCAAGAGGCCTTTGTTTTTTCCTCTTCTTAACCATAGGAAAGGAATGTAGGAGGGTAGGGAGTGGATATTTTCTAACCTGGAAAAAACTCATTTTACCCTATATGATTTTTGTTAGCAAATTCCTTCTTTGCACTTACTCCACAATCTTTCCAAATTCTCCCAAATGCTCAAGCTTTTAAAAAACAAAAGACAGAAAAATAGCAGGTTATTAGGTTTTCCAACAAACCTTTTCTTTCTATTCCTTTACATCAGTGGGCTTAGAATAACTCTGCTCCTGGAACTGGGAAAGGCACTTGGGAAAAGAAAGAAAAAAAAAAGCTCTCAAAGTTTAACATCACAAAACATTATAGTCATTGCTATTTTATTATTTATTTATTTATTTATTTATTTATTTATTTATTTATTTTTGAGATGGAGTCTTGTTCTGCCACCAGGCTGGAGTGCAGTGGTGCTATCTCAGCTCACTGCAACCTCCGCGTCCTGGGTTCAAGCGATTCTCCTGCTTCAGCCTACTGAGTAGCTGGGACTACAGGCGTGTGTCACCACACCCAGCTAATTTTTCTATTTTTAGTAGAGATGGGGTTTCACCATATTAGCCAGGATGATCTCGATCTCCTGACCTTGTGATCCGCCCGCCTTGGCCTCCCAAAGTGCTGGGATTACAGGCATGAGCCACCGTGAGTGACCTTGCTTTGTAATTTTTACATCATATATCCCCTGTGTTAGACCAAGAGCTTCTAAAAGCCAGAAGACATACACCATTTATAGTTCAATTAGAGATGTTCACTGATAAAACTTATTCTTCCATCTGAGGGTGGTACTTGTAGTTACAGTAATGTAGATGACAATCTAAGTTATGTTCTATAAACTGTGTCACTGACATCTCAATCTACAGCTAACTTTAATTTTTTAAAAGCAGAGGAGTGGGTTCTATAGGTTTAGAAATACATTCATCAAGCTAGTTAAGTGAGATAGATTCAAACCTTCAACTCACTGGAATATTTACCAAATTGACTATTCATTAGCTAAAGGAGCCATACAAACAAGGTACGTTTTAAAATTCAAAATTATGTAAGGTTTTGTTTCCTTTTTATGCTGTTATGAATTGGATTGTAGAGGTTATAAGGTAAAATAAGGTTACTTTTACAGTAAAGCATACAACACATTGTCACAAGAGGGCAGCCTTTGAACATGAATTGCTTCTCAGGCATTCCTTGAAATTTTGAGACAGTTACTTTAATTAACACAATTAAATAATAAAACACTACAGAGGATCTAAGAAGATACTTTGACTTATGCATATTGTTACTTTTTTATTACTGCTAGTGGAAGATGTAATCTACAAGGAAGGCAAGGGCTGAATTTGTTTTATGTAAAAAGACAAATTTCTTTGGGTTTTAGCTTTCAAACAAGATAGTAGGTCAATGTCTAAATGAGTGTATCAAAGTTGTCACACTAGCACATGTAAATCCACCTCTTATCTACCCAAAACTCCAACCAAGCAAAGGCAAGTTGGAAGAATCAGACAAATGTAAGTGCCTAGGATACATAAATGCCACTGGATTTTATGTTTTTAACTTTCAACCTCCCAAGTTTCACTAAGAGACATGTTATTTGGAGAGGTTGCTAAAGTGTAGTTGCATGATGTCTCTGTGTACGGTTGGTCTGGACCTCTTTCTGTCCAGTGGTTGCCCTCAACTGATTAGAGTCACCTCTCTAAAGATCATGCTTACGTCCCTGGAGCAGTCCACAGCACTATCAATGTCTGATCTCCACCTTTTTCCAATTAATATTTCTGTACTTACTGAATTGGAAAACATACAGGTGTTTTTTGCCTGGTCACTTGTGGTTTTACAACACTCCCCCCGCTTCCGCATCACTGCCCCAGGTGATTTTGTTGCCAGCCAAAGTGTGAGAACTACTGGCAGCTGCTGGCAGACAGCAGCAAAGGCCCAAATCCTCTGTGTGATTTCAATACCCCTATCTGGTTTTCAGCCATATTTCCTTCTCCTTCTCAAAGCTGAGCCCACTCCTCCTCCCTCACCACCTGTAGGCTATGCTTTCCAGCCTGTGTCCAGGATTAGTCCTGATGTAAGGCACGTGGGGTTTAAGGATCTCTCTCTTCAGTCTTATTTCCGCACCATCGCTGACACATATATTCCAGTTGTAATCATGGGGCTACCTCCTTTTCTTTCCAGTCCCATGCTCTTTTTCTCTATCACATTCTACCTTGTAATAACCTAAATCTTCTGGTGGGCAAGCTTCTTCCTCAATCAAATTTGTGTTTATGATTGTGTTGGGGATTGGCTTAGTAATCCAGGTACTGCTACTGCCTTGAAAGCGGAGACTGCATCCTTCTGTCTGGATATCTTGAGTTTCTGGATTGTAAACCTTATTAGGGCCCATTTTTCCTAGAATTGGAGCCTCTACTTTGTTCTTGCTACTTTAGTTCACCCAGAAAGCACGATCTCTGCCTGAATTTCAAAGTGTTGGCTAGCTTAAATATCCTTTTGTGAGACTTTCGTCTTCCTGCGGGGTGATTTTTTCATCTTACATACCATTGCTAATCTTTTTGTCTTGAATGTAATTGAAATAGTTTTAATCTGTGTTACCAGCAACAAGAACCCCTTTTATGAGATGAAGAGGCCAGGTCAGTCTCATAACATGTGTCCCCCTCCGTGTGTTGAATTTATGTCAGAGCCAGGTTCTTTCCTATTTGACGTCTCTCACCAAATTCCAGTGTTTATGTCCTAGGAGGTGCCCAATAAATTCTAGAGTTGATACAAGCTGCAATTTTAGAGAAATTAAATTAGCAAGTAAAATTAGATTATATACAACCTAATCAACTTTTTTTTTCTGAGGATGACCAAGATTTGGGCTTCAGTGACAATAGTTGTCCCCTAAATATTTATACTCAAAATCTAGGATCACCAGTACAATGTTGAATAGAGGTGATGAACACACACATCCCTTTCTTGTCCTAATCTATGTGGTTTAAACATTTACGCTTTCACCATTAAATATAGTATTGTTTATATGTTTTGTTGTGGATGCTTTCCATCACGTCGAGAAAATTTCTTTATCTAGCTTGCTGAGAGTTTTTTTTTAAATCAGCAATAGATATATCTCCAAAGAAAATATCCACATGACCAACAGATACATGAAAAAAATGCTCTGCATCACTAATCAGGGAAATGCAAATCAAAACCACAAACAGATATTGCCTCAAGCCCTTTAGAATGGTCTTATTAAAATAAAAAGATATCGAGTGTTAACAATGGGGAGAAATTGGAACACTTCTACAGTGTTTCTGGGAAAGTAAAACTGTGCAGCCTCTATGGAAAACAGTACGGTGGTTCCTCAAAAAAATTAAGAAAGTAGAACTACCATATGATCTAGTAGTCTCACTTCAGGTTATTTATCTGAAAGAATGGAGATTGGGATGATTCTCAGGCTCATTGCAGCATTATTTACACTAATTAAAATGTGGAAATAAGGTTAATGTCTATTGGCAGATGAAAAGATAAAGAAAATGTGGTATATTCATACAACGGAATATTATTCAGCTTTAAAACAAGAAAGCCCGTCAATATGCAACATGGATGAACCTAGAGGACATTAATGCTAAGTAAAGTAAATCAGTCACAGAAGGACAAACTGTATGATTCCACTTGTATAAAGTATCTAAGATAGCCAAATTCATTAGAATCACAGATTAGAATGGTGATAGCTCTTTAAATTGAAGTCAATTTTGCATTCCTAGGTTTTGTAATTTTGGTATCAGGATTCTGACTCATAAAACAAGTTTGGAATTTCCCCCTTCTTTATTTCTGAAATAATTTAAAAATTTTATTTTTTTTAAACGTTTGAAAGAATTCACCAGTGAAATTCTTTAGATCTGGGGTTTGCTTATTTTTTTATTTATTTAATTTTATGTTTTTATGTGCAGGTATTTTACAATTAATTTAATTACTTTAATAAATGTCAATTACTTCATATGTTCCATTAAATCTTGTGAATTTTTTTATAAGTTTTTTTCAAGGAAGTCACCCTTTCATCCAAGTAATGAAAATTTGTATATAATGTTTCACAATATTCCATTATCTTGTTAATGTCTCTTGTGTCTACAACTGTACAATCTCATTAATCCCTGATATGTATAATTTGCGTTTTCTTTCTTTCTCACAGAACTAACTTTTGGCCATGTTGATTTTCTCCTGTTTCTGTTTTCTGTCTCATTGATTTCTAATTTCTGTTTTATTTCCTTTCCTCTACTTGTTTTGGACTTAATTTGCTCTCTTGTTTTAGATTTTCTTTTTAAGGTAGAAAATTAGTTCACTTGTTTTGAACTTCTCTTTTCTAGAATAAGCATTTATACAAAAAATTTACTCTGGGTCTGCTTAACTTTATCCCATACATTTTTATATAGTATATTTTTATTTGTATTCAGTTCAATGTATTTAAAAGTGTTTCTTATGATTTCTTCATTGAGCTAAAGGGCATTTTAAGGTGTATTTAAATCTTCCAATAGTGTAGACTTTCCTGGGTAGCTTGTTTTTACCCATTTCAACTCATTTTCATTATGGTCAGAAAGCTTACTTTCCATGATTACAGTGTTTTGAAACTTCTTGAGAGATATTTTGTGGTCTATAGCCTATTGATAAATGTTTCATGTGTAGCATAATAGAACATATATTCTATTGTCTTGGTCAATATCGATTAGGTCAAGCTGTTGTCAAAATTATTTTATCTTAATTTTCTTTAGTTATTCTGTCAGCAATACAGCATTATGTCTTCATAATTACTTGACATTTTATCATTATGAAATAGCTGTCTGTTGTAATATTGCTCGTTTGGAGGTCTACTTTTTCTTATACTAATATAGCCACATAAGATTTCTTGTCCTTGTTGTTACCTTGGTATACTTGGAAATTATTTTACTCTCAACTTATCTATACCATAATATTTGGCATGCATCTCTTATAGGTACTTTTATTATCCAGTTGGACAATCTGTGTTTTATTTGGAGTATTTAAATTACATTTGAAATAATTACTGAAAAGGTTGGATTTAAGCCTACTATTTTTGCTTTTTCTTTTTTTTTTTTTGAGACGGAGTCTGGCCCTGTCACCCAGGCTGGAGTGCAGTGGCGGGATCTCGGCTCACTACAAGCTCCGCCTCCTGGGTTCACGCCATTTTCCTGCCTCAGCATCCGGAGTGGCTGGTACTACAGGCGCCCGCCGCCATGCCTGGCTAATTTTTGTATTTTTAGTAGAGACGGAGTTTCACCGTGTTAGCCAGGATGGTCTCAATCTCCTGACCTCGTGATCCACCCTCCTCGGCCTCCCAAAGTGCTGGGATTACAGGCTGAGCCACTGCGACCAGCCTATTTTGCTCTTATGTTCTATTTGCTCCATCATTTTTTGCTCCTCTTTCTTTCATGCCTTTTTATATTAACTGAACAATATTCAGCATTCCATTTTAATTCCTTTATTGGCATTTTAGAAGAATATCTTCATATAATGTGGTGGTTCTCTAGGGATTATAATAAACATCCTGGGCTTATCGCAGTCCACTTAGTGTTAATAGTCAGCGTTTTCATGTAACATAAAGAAAAGTTGCGACAAAATTGTTGCGTTTAGTCTCCTGTCAGAGCTATTAATTTAGAATATTTTACACACATTATCAATAGTACACTTAATTTTTTATTCAAAGCATCAGTTGTTTGTTATAAAACTAAAAAAAAAAAGCCTTAGTTTTTCACGTTTATGCACATGCCATTCCTAGAGCTTCTCCTTGCTTCCTGTAGGTCAGAATTTCCATCTGTTGTTATCTTTCTTTAGCCTAAAAAATTTCCGTTTGCATTTCTTGTATCTAGGTCTGCTAATGACAATTGTTTGAAGCTTTCTTTTATCTGAATAAATCTTTCTTTTCTCAAGAATTACTTTATCTAGTTATAGAATTTGGAGTTGACAGTTTTCTTTTGAAGATGTAGTTTCATTGCTTTTTAAAGTGTCATTTCTGATGACAGGTCATCTGTCTATTTGTTTCCACGGATGTAAATTATTTTCTCCCTCCCTTTAGCTACTTTCAAGATTTACTCTATTTTTTGCCCAGTGGTTTGATTATGGTATGTCTACATTTGGTTCTCTTTATTTTTATTCTGTTCTTTGAGTTTCTTAAACCTGTAAGTTGATATATGCTGACAATTAGGAAAACTTTTGGTCTTTACTTTTTCAAATAGCTTTTTTTGTCTCATTTACTTCTCTACTCTTTCTAGGACTCCAATTATATTAGTGCTAGACCTGCCCTATTTTTATTATTTTTCTTCGTTTGTATTAACTGTATTGGGAAATTGTTCTTGATCTGTTTTTAAGTGCACTGATAATTTTTTGTGCCATCTTTAATTTACTGGTATGTACATAAAATGACATTTTTATAAAAGATATTCTGTCTCTCAGTTCTAAAATTTGTCCTATTATCTCTTTATCATTTTTACTTCTCTGTTGAGATTCTCCATATATTCCCTCTTATGACCATCTATTCCTTAAATCCTTGAATATGCTTATAATAGCTTATTTTAAATTTCTTATATTCTAATTCCAGCATGTGGGCCATTTCAATGTCTTAATTCATTGTTTACTTTTTTTGTCATGTGTCATATTTTCCTGGTTCTATGTCTAGGCAGGTTAAATTATATGTTAGATTATGTGTATGATATTTTGTAGAGATAGGTTCGTTTATTTTCCTTTGAAGAATGACTCTTTTCTAACATTAGTCTTCTTTCCGTAGTCAAACACCAAACTTTCACTCCTGAGCTATATGCAATGGTTGAAATCTCTGCTCTGTACTAGTAATTTAGCTGTTGTTTTCTGCTGGATTCTATGGAGTCTCCTTTTATGAATGTGAAATGTAGCAGCCATCATATATCTGAATGAAGTTGAAGTGCTGATTTTAGATTTTTACTCTGTGATATTCTCCTCTGTGACTTTCAGTTGTGTGAGATTTCCTCCCATGTCATTCAAATTTCCCAGTTCCTCTTTTCTGTCAGCCTGGAACTCTGTGCTCTTATTCCTCAAGCTAGTAAAACTCACCGCTTTACTCGTAGACATCTAATTTTGCACAGACTGGGAAGCGTCATCAGGTGTGAAGTTGCATTGATGCAAATTTAAATCATTGCAATTTTCTTTATTCTGTGGTCAAATACTTCATCATTAGTGGAGTATTCTACTATTTCTGCCTCTTTTCTGTTTCTCATTACCATCAAATGTGTATTTAATTTTTTTAGAGTTAATAGTTTTTTCCCTGCATTTGGGTTAGACCTGAGCTACTACCATATTTTGTAATTCAAACTTTTTGTCTAACAATGTTTTAGAAAACTCTTTATTTGGAGGGAATTCTCAAACTTCTAAATACTCTACAAACATTAGGATCAGGGCTCACATTCCCAGTTTCCCTTGTAGCCAGATGTACATATGGAACATGGCCTCAGCTAATGAAGCATACCCACATATTTGAAAGTAAGAAAAGTGTTAAGAGGAACTGTAGATATCATTTTAGTTGATGCAAGGATGGAAAAAAATAACCAACTTTCACTGGTGAACTTTGTCTTCAATCATTGTTTTCCCGTTGGTAAGTGGCTAATTTTCTGGCCTAGAGGTGGCATTGGTGTGTTGGTAACAATTGATTTGATGATAACCTGCTTTTGTCTTTTTAAAAAATGCTAATCCACCATTGTTTCTGGTCCTGTTTTATATTTATGCAGTGTATAATGTCTCATGCAAAATTTAGTTCTTTGTTTCTCAGCTTAAACTGGATTTTGATGAGCAGTTTTCACCTTCAAATGAAATAAATGGCTTTGGTTGATGTTAGGCAAAAATAACAAGAAGGAATTAAAGAAATATGTTTGTCTTCTTGTAACATTAAATAAATGAAACTGAAAATTCAATAATTCTGCTTCATAAAAAAATAGAAAGTTTCTACTGGTTTTAATTATTTTTGAAGCTGTATCATTAAATGAAATTTCTGCCTCATGGAAGGTTTTTAGAACTATGTAATAATACCATACAGACCATTAGGAGAGAAATGAATAAAGACTGAAAGAAGTAAGCACTGTGTGGTAACATAGATGGCGCACAGTTGTGTGCGTGGAGCCCTAATACATTTGACCATGGAATTTATACAATAAATGTTAGTTTCCTGTGAACCTGCTAATTAATATGACTTTTGCAGACATTTCCTTAACCTAAACAGTTTGGGTTTCCTGTATATAGACTGCATGTATTCTCATCTTTAACCTTTCCATAATCTTCCCTAATTACAGATGTCATTGGTTCTTAATAGCAAAAGAACAGCAGTAGCTTATAAAGTTATATTATTTGTTTTTTACTAATATGTGAAGTGATTTTGTCTTTCATTTCACCTCTAGAGCTAATTATGTCTTCTAGGTTAACAAAATTTCCAGATC